>NC_000001.11:203487617-203639132 GCF_000001405.40 Homo sapiens | reverse complement strand
CTTCCCCTCCTTCCCCTCTGCACTTCCTCTGACCTTTTGGAGGAGGCACACCCTGAGGAAAGCGTAGGGCCAAGAATACCCCGGCAGGAGGAGATCTCTGCACACCTCTTCCCAGGACTTCTGCTTCCCCTCTCAATTACTCTGCCTCTCTCAGCTCAAGGCCCAGTGTGCGAGGAGGAGCCATGGAGGGGACTGTTAGGAGCTGCACGGTGATACGGGCAGTGCCAAATACTTCTTTGCATTTTCTGTGTGCTAATGACCTTAATTGTTAATAATAACAGCAACAGTAACAATCATGCCACCAGCACCTTTATGGTTTCTAGAATCTGTCTTCCAAACTGCTCCTAGCACATGACCTCACATCAACCTTGGAGGGACGGGGATAGTTCTCTCTGCCATGTGGGTAGAGACATTGGGAACCAGGGAAGTTTGGTGTTGATCTGGTCACACAGTGTTGCAGTGATGGGGTCGAGGTCCCAGTCTTGGAGTGGGGAGAACTAGGCTGTACCCCCACCTCTGCCTCAAACTAACCCAGTGTCTTTGGGCAAGTCTCGAGGTGCCAGTTCTCTGTCCATCTCAAATGCTCTGTCTCAGTAAAATGAGCCTGGTGACAAGCCCAAAGCCTGGTGACCGTCCTCCCCTGTACAAGGTCAGAAAGCTCCTGGAATGGATGCTTGCTGCTTGCTGTGCCTGTCCTTGCATCCTAACAGATGTCGTACGAGTGCTCCCCACAAAGAAGGCTGTAATATGGACAGCAGGGAGAAAACATCAAAAAATCATCCTAATGGTCCATAAGTGCCAGGAAAGCAGACAGGTGGCAGGCCGCTGCTGAGGCCAGATGCCATCCTGCCCACAGTACCGGTACTGGCTCAGACAAAGGCTGGAGGCCTTCCAGCGAGTGGGATCAGACAGCCTCCCTCACCTGCCAGAGTATCCGATTCTCCAGGATGCTCTGAGTGTCCTCAGTCGGGTGGTAGCAGCACACCCCTTCCTCCCCATCTCCCCTCCCCTCCTCCATCAAATCTGTCCTTTCTCTTTAAAATCCTGTTTGGCAATCACCTCCTCCATGAATAATTTCCAGTTGAGCCCTGCCAAATTCTAGTCTCCCCATTCCCACTAAGACCCCTTCAGCCCCCAGCCATCCTATTAGCAGTTACCAGCCATCACTAGGTCATGTGTCCCTGCACCAGATGAGATTTCAAGTGTGTGTTCCCGCTCTTGTATCCCACTAGACAGAGGATGAATAGGGCCAGTATTTCCATTTCCTCCTTTCTTAAATTTTCCTCCGTCTTCAGCTCCCAAGATAGGAAGCAGGGCATTTGGGACACAAGAAAAGCAGACTATAGATGGATGATACATTCCTCTCTACCTTGGGCAGCTTCCCTGGCCAGTTGCCAGGAAGGCTAATGCTAGAATCTCAACCAGAGTCCAAACAAGGGCTCTGCCAACATGTCTACCTCTAGGGCTGAAAGTCTGGATTGGCAAGGAGGGTAAGCTGGCCTAGCAGCTGGCAACTTTGCCTGAATTTCTAATCCAACCCACAGCTCAGATGAAAACCTAATCTCTGCAGCTCACAACACTGACTGTAATGCCACTGACATTATTCCAGTGTCGAATAATATTGTTAGGTGAGCTACATGAAATTGCCTTTGTAGGTCAAAAGTGGTTGTATATTGGCTTTTTTTTTTTTTTTTTTTGAGACAGAGTCTTGCTCTGTCACCCAGGCTGGAGTGCAGTGGTGCGATCTCGGCTCACTGCAGGCTCCGCCCCCCCCCGGGGGTTCACGCCATTCTCCTGCCTCAGCCTCCCCAGTAGCTGGGACTACAGGCGCCTGCCACCTCGCCCGGCTAATTTTTTCTATTTTTAGTAGAGACGGGGCTTCACCGTGTTAGCCAGGATGGTTTCAATCTCCTGACCTCGTGATCCGCCTGCCTCGGCCTTCCAAAGTGCTGGGATTACAGGCGTGAGCCACCGCACCCAGCCGTATATTGGCATTTTCATATGGTTCAATATAATAACTTTTGGGGGGATTATGTGCCCTAGGAAACTTTGTGAAAGTTTGAATTTCTCTACCTCTAGCTAATATTCCTTAGTTTCTGGCCTAGGACATAGCAGAATTACGGCCTTGGAAGGTACTTCCTAATTGAAGTTCCCGGCAGGTGGAGGTGGGAAATCTTAGAACCTGTTCTACTCCCAAACATCAATGGTGGCAGTTCAAAGCCATATGCTTTTTGGCCTCTTTTCCCCTGGTCATCCTGGGCAGAAGGATGGGACTTGGCTGCAAATTGTTACATTGTGCTAGACTCTATCTGTGATAAAAGAGTTTGGTTTGGGCATTGAGAGTTTTACTCCTTTGTCTTCTATAGAAGAGGAGGGTCTTGAATCAGGAATGTCTGTATGTCCAAACTTGGTTTCATGTAACAGTGCAGTTGATGAAGGCCCAGAGATATCCCCTGCTTCAATCAAGGTTACACAGCAGACAAGAGTCCAGATTACCAGTTTTCTGACTCCCAGTCCCGTGCTCTTCTGGCAAGCCTGGCAGCCCACTAGAACAAACTCCTCCCTGTCTGCCCCCTTCCAACTTCCTGGCTCCCGCTCTTTCAGGCTCCCTCACCAACACAGAAGGGGAATTGACTAAAGGATTAATAGCCGTCACCTACATGAGCCTACGTAAAAAGAGCCCTGAGTCATGTAGGGCCTAGCCCCAGGGTTTCCAGGAGAAGAGAGGGAGAAAAAGAGAGAGAGAAGCCATCCTGGAAACTCAATCTCTCTCCAGAGCGACGATCAGGATGGGGAGGCGGGGGTGGGTAGCACAATGATTTGGGTCAATGACAGGACAGCCAGGTGTGCTGCCCTTGCCAAGGGAGTGCCTAGAAGGCCTTGCTTAGCTCAGGCATGAAGGCTCCAGGCAGGCACTGCTTGCTGGTTTCTTTCAGAATCACCTAATTAGAGAATTCTAAGGGACACTAAAGGTTTGGTCAGCAACAATCTCTGGGCTGTTTGGTGAATTTCTTCTCTTACAGCCTGGGACCTGTCTCCTCAAAAGTTAGGTGGGTGACTCTGGAAGCCCTCAGTCCCCAGGTTCCCTCAGCTGGCCCCATGGCATGGTGGGAGAATGCCTGTCATCCTACCTCCCTTTGTGGCCCACTCATCAGGGCCCAGGTGCTCCTGTCTGGACAGGAGAGGCTGTGGGTGGGGAGCAGTGAGGGTGGGAAGGTAGGCTTCCTAAAGGACCTTACTTTCTTAGAAGATCCCTCTGTGTGCTCCATGGGGACTCTCAGCACCCAAGAGCTTAGAAAAGACACTCCTATTGGTCAGGAGTTTTGCAGATAAAGTGAGAAGAAACCAGGAATCTAGGAGTGCCTCTGGCATGGACTTCTCTCTCTGGCTAAGTATTTGGAAAAATTTCAAACCTGAAAGGTTGAAAAAAATAGCACAATAAACAACTGCAGACCCTTTACTTAGTTTCACCTTTTTTTTTTGAGACAGGGTCTCACTCTGTCAACAGGCTGGAGTATAGTTTCATGATCACGGCTCACTGCAGCCTCAAGTTATCCTCCTGCCTCAGCCTGCTGAGTAGCTAGGACTACAGACAGGTGCACAGCCTCCATGCCCAGCTAATTTTTTATTTTGTAGAGGTGGAGTCTTCCTATGTCATCCATCTCTACAAAAAAACAAAACAACAATAACAACAAAAAAATTAGCCAGCCATGGTGGCATGCACCTGCTCCAGTTACTTGGGAGGCTGAGGTCGGAGGATTGCTTGAACCTGGGAGTTTGAGGCTGCAGTGAGCTATGACTGCACCACTGCACCCCAGTCTGGGTGACAGAACAAGGCCCTGTTTCAAAAATAAATGGGGGCTGAGTGTGATAGCTCAAACCTGCAATCCCAGCACTTTGGGAGGCTGAGGAGGGTGGATCACCTGAGGTTGGGAGTTTGAGACCAGCCTGACCAACATGGAGAAACCTCGTCTCTACTAAAAATACAAAATTAGCCGGGTGTAGTGGTACATGCCTGTAATCCCAGCTACTCAGGAGGCTGAGGCAGGAGAATCGTTTGAAATCAGGAGGCGGAGGTTGCGGTGAGCTGAGTTTGCAGCATTGCACTCCAGCCTGGGCAACAAGAGCAAAACTCCATCTCAAAAAATAATAAATAAATAAATAAATGGGGCCGGGTGCGGTGGTTCATGCCTGTAATCCCCGCACTTTGGGAAGCTGAAGCAGGTGGATTGCTTGAGCCCAGGATTTCGAGCCCAATCTGGACAACACGGTGAAACCCCGTCTCTACAAAAAATATGAAAATTAGCCAGGCATGATAGCATGCGCCTGTAGTCCTAGGTACTTGGGAGGCTGAGGTGGGAGGATAGCTTGAGCCCAGGAGATCAAGGCTGCTGTGAGTTGTGATTGTGCCACTGCACTCCAGCTGGATGATAAAGCAAGACCCGGTCTCAAAAACAAACAAACAAACAAAGAGATGCATTTCTGTTGCTTAAGCCACCCAGTCTATGATGTTGTTTTAGCAGCCCAAACTAAGATATGCTAAGACCAATCTTTCACCCAGTGGTTTTAGTATCCATTAAACGCTAGACTAAATCAGCTATTATAGTAGAGGCTGCAAACTGGTCAATTTAAAGTTCCAGTCTGGCACTGTGTCTCACCCATTATCCTGGTGCTTTGGGAGGCTGAGGCAAGAGGATCGCTTGAGCCTAGGAGTTCAAGGCTATGGGCCACTGCACTCCAACATGGCTGACAGAGTGAGACCCTATCTCTAAAAATAGGTAGGTAAATAAAGATAATGTTGGCTAAAAGATGCAAAGTTTCAGTAGACAGAAGGAATGTTTCTGAGATTTACTGCACTACATGGTGACTATAGTTAATGTAATGCATGTTTCAGAATTGCTAAGAGAGATTTTAAATGTTTACACTACAAAAACAACGATAAATGTGTGAGGTGATGGATATGTTGATAGTTTGACTTAATCGTTCCGTAATGTATGCATATATCAAAACATCACATTACACCCCATACATATATGAAACTAGTATTTTTCTATTAAAATTAAATTTAAAAAAATTTTTTTTGAGACGGAGTTTCACTCTTCTTGCCCAGGCTGGAGTGCAATAGTGTGATCTTGGCTCACTGCAACCTCCGCCTCCCAGGTTCAAGCGATTCTCCTGCCTCAGCCTCCCGAGTAGCTGGGATTATAGGCATGCACTACCACGCCCGGCTAATTTTGTATTTTTAGTAGAGACGGGGTTTCTCCATATTGGTCAGGCTAGTCTAAAACTCCCGACCTCAGGTGATCTACCCACCTCAGCCTCACATAAAATTAAATTTAAAGAAAAATCTTGTCATTACTACTAGATTTTATTAGTTGGCATTTACTTTATTTATTTATTTATTTATTTATTTATTTATCTGATATGGAGTCTCGCTCTGTCTCCCACTGGAAGTGCAGTGGCACAATCTTGGCTTACTGCAACCTCTGCCTCCTGAGTTCAATCGATTTCCGGCTAATTTTTATATTTTTAGTAGAGACAGGGTTTCACCATGTTGGCCAGGCTGGTCTCAAACTCCTGACCTCAAGTAATCCACCTGCCTGGGCTTCCCAAAGTGCTGGGATTACAGGTATGAGCCACTGCGCCCAACTGGCATTTACTTTTTAATTTTTTGAGACTGAGTCTTGCTTTATCACCCATTCTAGAGTGCAGTGTCATGATCAGAGCTCATGGGAGCCTCAAACGCCTGGGCTCCAGCGATCCTCCTGCCCTGGCCTCCCAGTGTGGTAGGATTACAGAGTGAGGCCTTGTGTCTGGCCTCGTTGGCATTTCTGTTCAGAGTTTTCCCTCCCTGCTCCTCCCTGTCCATGTCAACTGTCAAAATAGACTCAAGGAATTTTTAATATTCAATGTGTTACAATCTATTACCATTATCCTTTGGAATGCTTAATGTGTTTCACCTCTGGTTGGCGGGAGACCCTTTAAGCCAGCTCCTGTGACAACATGTCATGACATGAGCATGCTCTAGTTTCTGGCACAACACAGTTCACTTATACTTTCCCAGTCTCAGACTTGAAATTAGTCATTTTTTCAAGGAGCACTGTTCCTTACAACCTCCCCCGTGGGAAGTTGTACTTAGAAATAAAAATCCAGGTACTAGGTGTGTTCCTTTCCACAGTCCTTTCAGTGGACAGACCCACAAGATATACAAAAAAACCCCGAAAGATTCTTTTTCCCCTTCCCCCATTCCATACTTATATCTCTCTTTTTCCATAGTGAGACCCTGATTTCCAGAAATATCACCATAGTTACTCATTTCATCTATCATACAATAAACGAAACAGTTTCCAATTTATGACACAAATACCACAACCAATAACATGTCTACAAAGTAAAGGTCAAGATTTCTTTGTAGGTGGTTTTTTTTTTTTTTTTTACTTAAAATATGAATATAGAATCAGGGAATGAAGGTTAAAAAGTACTTAAATTAGGCCAGGCGTGGTGGCTCACGCCTGTAATCCCAGCACTTTGGGAGGCTGAGGTGGGCGGATCATGAGGTCGGGAGATCGAAACCATCCTGGCTAACATGGTGAAACCCTGTCTCTACTAAAAATACAAAAAATTAGCCGGGCGTGGTGGCAGGCGCCTGTAGTCCCAGCTACTCAGGAAGATAAGGCAGGAGAATGGCGTGAACCCGGGCGGCAGAGCTTGCAGTGAGCCGAGATCCCACCACCGCACTCCAGCCTGGGCAACAGAGCGAGACTCTGTCTCAAAAAAAAAAAAATTTCTTACTTCTCCTGCTTTCTTATCCCAAAGGTGGCATACTATATACTGTACTATGTCTTGGTTTTTTCACTTAATAATATATCCTAACAATCATGTCATATAAGTTCACAGGGCTCCTAGTCATTCTTTTTTTTTTCTTTTTGGCTACCTAGGATTCTATTGTATGGACTGTACCATTGTTTGTTTAACCATTTTTTAAAGAATGGGCATTTGGATAGTTTCCAATGATTTCCTATTGTAAATATGCCTTTAAAAACCACCTTGTGGCTGGGCTTGGTGGCTCACACCTATAATCCCAGCTCAGGCAGGTAGATTGCCTGAGCTCAGGAGTTTGAGACCAGCCTGGGCAACACGGTGAAACCCCATCTCTATTAAAATACAAAAAATTAGCCGGTGTGGTGGCTAGCACTTGTAATCCCAGCTACTCACGAGGCTGAGACAGGAGAATTGCTTGAACCCGGAAGGCAGAGCTTACAGTGAGCTGAGATCGCGCCGCTGCACTCCAGCCTGGGCGACAGAGCGAGACTCTGTCTCAAAAAACAAACAAACAAACAAACAAAAATCACCTTGTACGTAGCTTTCCATATTTGTGAATGAGCACCTTCTGGATAAATTCCTAGACGTAGGATTGCTGGGTAAATGTGTACGTAGCTTTGTTAGATATTGCTAACTTCCCGGGCTCAATACTAACAGCCCGTCTTACCCCTGGGACTCCCAGCGCCCAGCACGGAGCCTGGGATGTTAGATGGGCTGTTAGTATTGAGGGTATACTACTTGTTTGTATTCCTGGCATTGATTTCGCAACCTAGGTAGACCTTGCCATGAGGTGTTCTAAGCTAAGACTTTCCTTGAACCTAGCTGAGAGTCCCTGACCTTCCTACCAATAAACGCACTGCTCCAAACTCCCTTTGCCACACCCCAAGTGAAGTGGCAGAAAGGCAAGAGGAAGGGGGTCTTAGTAATCCCATCCCAGTTCATCTTCCCTGAGTTGTCCCAGGGATTTGTGCATGAAACTTGGGAAACTAGAGCAGAGGTGAGTAATGAGGCTGAGGATCTTAGGCAGAGAGGAACTGGGGTGAGGAAAGGTAGAAATGGGGGCTCTGCCCCTTGGCACCTATGTTCTCAATCCTTTCCTTTCCTTTGGCCTCTCCACTATCCTTCACACATAGACTGCCTCTCAAGCCTCTTCCCTGACCCAGAGCCCTTGGCTCTGGTCCTCACTAGATCCTGCCTGGTTTCCCTCCTCAACTCAAGTTCATGTAGGCTGAACACAGAGGACTGGCTTAAGGTAGAGGCAGAAATAGAAAGTCCCTGTCATTTCTGTTTTAACATGTACAGAGGAAATAAGTCAGTGGAACAAGAATGGCTCACACAAGGGAAAGAGGAAAGAGGACACAAGGAGAGATACTGGCAGAGGAAGCCAAGGGCAAAACATTCCACACAAGCATTTTGGACTCCAGCCCCAGGGCCTGCTCTAATCCTATGACCTGCAGAAAAGGGGACATGAGTGGAGAAAGGTTGTCATCCCAGTCTGACAAGGCAGAGGCCTTGCTTTTCTCATCCCTCTTTCCTTCTCACCCCTACCCACCAAATACCCACTGGGATGACAGGAATCAATGCTTATCTGAGAAGCAGGGAACTGGGCTGGGTAGGGAGCCTTGTCTGAGGGGCGCCCTTCGGGGGAAGAATTCAGATTGCCTGAAGAATCCTTCCAGAGAAGGATAGTTAAGACTCTGGGTGGGGTGTTCCCCTTCAAGGTCAAACACTTGGAGCTAATCTAACCTAAGCCAAACAGTTTTTTAGGGGTTTGGCTAACGGGGTTTGTCTTGGTCATTCTGGGGACTAAGAATGAACAAGATCCTTTTCTCTCTCCAAGGCTTAGTGGGTCTGCAATGCTCTGTCCTAGTGGATAGGGCTAATCCATGTCTTTGGGTGCTGGGTCCAAGGCCAGGAGCATTGAAAAAAAAAAAAAAAAAAGAGAGAGAGAGAGAGAGAGAGAAAAGGGGTTTCGGAGTTTTTGAGAGAAGCTAAATTCTTGAATAAGGGGCAGTTTCCGGTGGAAGGCTTGACCTGCTGACAGGTGGCAGGGAGCAGCCCAGACCCCGTTCCTCTCGGGACCTCCGGTTAGTGGGAGTGGGGAAGAGTAAAGCCTCCCGATATCCTGGCCCAGGACATCCAGCCCCTACACATCACCTTACCTCTTCCAGCCCCCACACCTTCGGCAAATTCTAACTGCTCTCCTTCTGCCCCTAACTGGGCCCTCTCATTTTGATTTTCTTCTGACAAAGACCACAGCAGTGTGACAAATCTGCCTAGCCACGCCCTGTCACCTCTACCGTGGAGAGCAGGCTTTCCATTGTGCAGAGGGGAAACTGGAGGCCAGACGGCGGGTTAGGAACTCGCTGGCGTCAGGCTGATTCCAAGGCCCCCAAACTGCCCGTGCTTCTCTCAACATGCCTTGACCCAGCGCTCTAACATCCCAGGCTCCGTGCTGGGCGCTGGGAGTCCCAGGGGTAAGACGGGCTGTGCTCCTTTGACTTGACCTTGAATCTAGAGACTTGGTGGTAAATGGAAGGGAGAAGGGTCTGAGGCTCGGCACAACCTGGGAGGCAGGAAGCCTCCGTTCGCCGCTCGGTTCGCATTCTCCACGGAGTTCTCAGACTACAGCAGAGCCCGGGAGGGTGGAGCCCAGCGGCGGAGAGGCTGGCGGGGCGGGGTCGCAGAGGCCGCGGAGAGCACAGGGGCCGCAGGGTTGCGCAGTCAATCCTGCCCCGAGCCCCGGGGGAAGGGCTGAGACTGCGGGAGCCGATTACCCCTTTGGCCGCGACCCCGGGCTCAGGCGACCCGGTGCGCGCTAAATAACGACCTCACGGAGAAGCCGTCCCCGAGCCCACCAACATCGACCCCTAATCAGATTACTGAAAATAGGAAGGCCGGCTGCAGGAATAGCTGCACTCTGAGCCTCCACGATGGGAGGCCGCGGCGAAAGCGGCGTGATTTTCGAGGTTGCACCTCAGCAAGATGGTGGCAGGGAGGATGGGACTCCCGAGGAGGAGTATAGAAATGGATCCCCTCCCTCCAGAACACGGGCATTAATTCTGTCTTGGGGGCCCTGCCCACTGGGGAAGGCCTCATTCCCTTCTCGAGCAGAACACAGGTAGGGAAGAGCTGTCTAGCCGAGGGGTGCAGTCAGATCAATCAACACCTCAAAGTGAAAATCAAATCGTTCCTGTTGCATCCCCAGCCCCGAGATGAGCTCTCCTCTAAGTGTTTTACTTCCTTCTCCCGCAGTGTCTCAGCTGTAGCCTTTACCACTCCTCCAAGCCCTGGGGCTGAAGGCAGGTGTTTCCTCTCCCCCAGCCTGATTCCCACAGATTTGTCTGCTTCAGGGTTTAGGGCCCACCTTCCAGAACACGCCTTACCAAGCTGCCACCATCCTTCCTGCCCCTCCCAGAGTCTGCTCCCCAAGCCACCACCCTCAGCCAAGGAGGGTAACTCAGCACATGGGCTAGGAGGCCTCTTCCACTCCCCTTCTTCCTAAACACTCCTGGCCCAGCCCCTCGTCACTCCCAGGCTGCTTTCCTGGGCCTGGCCCAGCCTGGAATGAGCCTGGTCTCCTTCCTCCAGGTAGAGGGCTCAGAGTGGAGGGGGCGTAGTAGGGCCTCCAATGGGAAGCGCGTGGAGAAGGGGCAGCTTGGGGAGGGGCTTAAGGAGCAGGGCCAGGGTCTCTAGACTCCCTGCCAGACTCCTCACACAGAGGAGGGGGGCGCTGCAGAATGGGATTTTGTTTCCCTTCCCTCCCCCACTCCTTTCCCCTCTCCACAGGGGCCTCAGTTGAGTACCGGCCTATTTCTTCATCTGACATTCCCCCTGCCCGGCCAGCAGGCGCCGGCATCACGTCTGCAAGTTATTGTTAAGTCCGGCAGGAATGCCCAGGAGGGACGTGCCTCTGGCAGCAGAGTGCCCACTCCCCTCCCAAGATGCGGCTGGCCACTCCTGCACCCTCCACACCCAGTTGGAGAAGAGCGGCGGGTACCCTCAGGGAGGTGGAGGAGTGTAAGAGGCCAGACTCGACTCGGGGAAGGATGCCAGCAGCCCCCTCTACCAAGAGCGAGCCAAGTATGTAAAAGAAAGAGAGAAGGGAGAGCAGGAAGGACAATCCCAGTCTTAATTCCTAGCTCTTCAGCAAGCCAAGGCAGTGGCCCGAGACGCTCAGGGATCCTTCCACAGATGCCTGTGGCCCACCCCATCTGCCAAACACTCACCAGCCCCACAGTGTCCAGCCTCGACATCGGAAACTTTTCAATTCACCCTTCTCCTTCCTCCCCTTTGGGACCAGAGATGTGTGGGGCGGTGCCCTCGGAGACACTCATACAGTTGGTTCTGGACGCTCACACACACTCAAACAACAGCGGTACGAGGTAACTCCCAGCTTTTTCCACAGCTAATTATACATGTGAAAGTCTGAGGATGTTTTGCAAGCAGCACAGAGAAACTGCTGAGGTTTCTCTGCAAAGCTAAAGAAATTTAATTCGTGCACTCTCCTTCCCCACTCCTGCCAACTTCTCCCAGCCCACCTCCACCCCATGGCCCCAAAGTGCCCCTCTCCTAGTTCCCGCTGCAGCCCCTCTTTCTGCTGAAGATTTCTTTGGTTCCTTTTTTTTTTTTTTTTCCATCTCTCTTTTGGGCTTTCGAGAAAGGGAACAGACACGGAAAATATTTTTGCAACAGTTTTCCATCCTGCGTCTCATTCCCAAGCCAAGGGGGGAAGGGGAGGGCAGGAACGGAATGGGTTGAGGGAGGGGAGATAAATATTTTTTCCAAGAGCTCAATTTTGGTGTCAAAAAGAGAACCCTCCATTACCCTACCCCATAGCCCAGGAATGACAAGAACTAGGAAAAGAGAGATAAATCACTTGTTCGACTATATGGTTTCTCAGAACTGATAATAGGTAAAACAGTATTTGACAAATCTGTGCACACACACATATTTTAAAAAAAATCCTCCAAACCCAGTCGCATGAAATATTCTAGAAAGAGGAAAATCGGGGAGTTTTAGAAGCCATTGAGAGAAAAGAAAGAAACAAAGTTTGCAAATCACAAGTCAATTCATTCTCTGCAAGCCTACCTCTCTTTCTAGCAAAGATCCAGGTTTCTTCAGGCGGGACTCTCCCTCCGGGTTTCCATGGATGAGGGTAGGGTGGGGTGACCACCCACCAGTCTCCCCAGTGTGGCAACCAAGCTAGAGACGCTGGCTTTGCTCTCTTGCCTTTCTGGCTAAGGCCGGGGAGTGGGCTGGGTCTCCTCCCCCTGCCCCTCCAATGGGAAGGACCTCTCAGGTTCCTGAAAGAAAAAGGGTGCAGGAGAGCTGGGCGGGTGTCTCTGATCTTGCTCTCTTCGGAGGGATGGTGCCCCACGAAGTTCGTGCCCCCCCTCCCAGCCCCCAGCTTTGGACGATCTCAACAGCAGAGCTTTCTTAAGAAAATGCTTGTCATGGCAACAGCTCTAGCTAACTCGGGCCAGACTCTTGCTCACCAGCTCTCCCCAAGCAGTGCGGGAAGAGAGAGGGGAGGAGCAGGAGCTGGAACAGAGGTGGGACTTGGCGCGAGGCCAAACCATTACTCTACTGTTAAGGTGGCCCGATTCTTGCGGTTACTTCCTGGTTCGTCTTAAGGGGGAATGGGAAAAGAAAGGGAAGCAATCCTCTCCCCTGTCGGCTTTCTTCCCCGCCCTTGCTCTCACTTGTTGAATAGAAAGCTGAGTAGGGGTGGAGGAGGGGTGAGGGTGGAGGTGGGGAGTGGATGTGGGTGGCGGTATTCAACGGTTGCTGGGCGGAGGGGAAAAAAAAGGAAGCTTGGGCAGGCGGCTGGCTTCCTGCAGCTCCTACGGGCCTCTCAACCCCTTACTCACTTAGATCCAGGACCCAGAAACCCGAGGTGTCTGTGGACACTTGTATGTCCCCTCCTACCTTCCTGCTCCTGTCTGAATAGGGGGTTCCTTGGAGAAGGAGAATAAATTGTTTTGTAAACACACACACACACACACACACACACACACACACACACACACACACACCCGTCCTCCCCTACACCTTATATACAGGTCACATTTTGTTCCCTCTTGTCCCTGTACCCACCAGAGGTATACTGACAGTGCATGAAAATAGCTGCTTACTTTTGAGTCCTGCTATGCGTGGGCTATGACACCAAAAGCTTTGTCTATATGGTATCGTTTCTAGTCCTCATTTAATCTTGAAAGGTACTTATTATTAACCTCATTTCCTAGTTGAGGGAATTGAAGATTGAGTGTCTGGCCCAAGGTTATACATCCGGCTAATGACAGAGCCAACGATTCAAGACCAAGTCAGACAGACTCCAAAGCCCGAGTACTTTCCTGTACTTTGTATCATACTCCGGCACATATTTCCGTTTTAATTTGCACACACTCAGACATCCATGCACACTTATACACAGCCTGTAAACAGTTAATCACACCCCCATACCCACACACCCACTAGCATTGTGCAACAGTGCCACCCATAGATTTTGCATAGAACTTTATGGCTTTCAAGCACAAACATGCACCATCAGCTGGTTCACACAACATATCTTCATTGACTGACAGATTCCCACACCTACCTCAGCAAACACACTCATGTTTATATGCTTATGGAAGGCACATTGACATATGTCTCACAGGTTATAGCTATGAGCTATGCTGTGAAGAAGGTGACTGGCCACTACTTCCCAACCTTTTAAACAGAGGGTTGGGAAAAGGCCTCTTTGATCCTATCATTCTAACCCAACAGCTCACACCACCCCCTGTCCTTCTTTGCTGTCATCTCTGCCCCCAAGAAGCAGAGCCACATGTGCATGGAGAAACAGGGTTGTGAAACGGGGTCCAGTTTCCCCCGTGTCCAACTAGCACCCTTCCCAATGTTCTCTCATTTGGGTCCTCTTTTTCCTCTTCATTTTCTTACCCTGCTATTTCTTTTTTCTTTATGGTTTTTTTTTTTTTTTTTGAGACGGAGTCTTGCTCTGTTGCCCAGGCTGGAGTGCAGTGGCGTGATCTCGGCTCACTGCAAGCTCCGCCTCCGGGGTTCACGCCATTCTCCTGCCTCAGCCTCCCGAGTAGCTGGGACTACAGGCCCCTGCCACCACGCCCGGCTAATTTTGTTTTTGTATTTTTAGTAGAGACGGGGTTTCACCATGTTAGCCAGAATGGTCTCGATCTCCTGACCTCATGATCTGCCCGCCTCGGCCTCCCAAAGTGCTGGGATTACAGGCGTGAGCCCCCGCACCCGGCCAGTAATGTTTTTAGACTGGTTGGGCTGGGCTCAGAACTCAGAGTTCATCAATGTGAGGCTGGAGATTGCCTGCTGTCATCTGAAAACAAAATCCAAAATAAGCCCTGGCTAGGCACAGTGGCTCATCCGTGTAATTCCAGTACTTTGGGAGGCTGAGGAGGGAGGATCACTTGGGGCCAGATTTCAAGACCAGCCTGGGCAACATAGCAAGACCCACCCCATCTCTACAAAAAAATTAAAAACAAGAGAAAAAAAATAAGCCCCTGCCTGTGCTTGTGCCTCTCCCTGCCAGCAGCCGAAGAAAGTTGCAGGGGTAAGGGGAGATTTTAGGGTCACCCTCTATGGGAACTATGGATTGTTTGGTCTTTTTTGTCTAGTGATTGACTGTCTGACACTCAAGGCACTTACAGGACACTAAAGGTGACCTTTGTTCTCATTTCAGCCTCTTGCAACTCCTCTAGTCACTCCCACCTTCCCAGGGCATTTCAAGAACAGTTAGTACCTTGTTAGATTCCTTCCTTCCTCCCTCCCTCTTCCCTCCCTCTTCCATTCCCTCCCTCTTCCCTTCCCTCCCTCTTCCCTTCCCTCCTTTTTCCCTCCCCTTCCCTCCTTTTCCCTCCCCTTCCCTTCCCTTCCCTTCCTTTCTCCCTTTCTTTCCCCTTCCTTCCTTCCATCTCCCTTCCTTCCTTCCCTCCCTCTACCTTCCTTCCTTCCTCCCTCCCTCTTTCTTTCTTTCTTTCTTTCTTTCTTTCTTTCTTTCTTTCTTTCTTTCTTTCTTTCTTTCTTTCCTTCCTTCCTTCCTTCCTTCCTTCTTTCTTTCTTTCTTTCTCTCTTTCTTTCTCTTTCTTTCTTTTTCTCTTCCTTTTTTCCGTCCTTCCTTCCTCTCTTCCTTCCTCCCTCCCTTCCCTCCTCCCTTTCCTTCCTTCCTTCCTTCTTCCTTCCTTCTTTTTTTTCATTATGGGTCTCCCTGTGTTGCCCAAGTTGCTTTTAAACTCCTGACCTCAAGTGATCCTCTCGCCTCAGCCTTCCTAGAAACTGGGACTACGGGCACACCCTACAATGCACAGCACCCTTGTTAGATTTTGGTAGACCCTAGCAAAATATCAGCTTCAGGAGCCCAAATCAATTGTTGGGGAAGACATGAGAAAGAAAGGAAAAGAAATGAATCAGCTTAACAGAGCTGCAGATTTAATGGCTTGTCAGGCTCCCTGCTGGATGGCAACAACATGACATTTTAGCACCAATGAGTGTCAGTTGCATCTTTATCATAAGAAAGCCAGTCTCTGAAATGACTGTTTAAATGTATTAAAGTATATTTTAAGCTCGTCTGCAGTGGCTGTGTGTGGAGGCATTGCCTAACTGTTCAGTAAACTTGTCTTGGGGGAATGACAATTTAGGCCAGATGTATGGTCCCAATAAAGAAGAAGTCTGCTTTGGCTGCCTGTTTTGTGGGGACTGGGAAATGATACCCTTTCATAGCTGGTTATTATTGGAAAGGTAAGATCTTCCCCTCAAGCTCCCTGGATTCCAGGGAGACAGGCTCTGCCAGGGAGGTGCTGTCAAAAGAGGCTCTGATGGCTGTCCCACATCTGGCTGGCTAGGATTCAGGGGCAGGCCAGGTTTATGACTTCCAGGGTGGCTGTAGATCCTCCCCTTGACCGGCTGTGGGGTTGTGGGATGAGAAAAAAGGAATCCCCCTCCCACTCCATTCCCACCCCAGCTCTGCTGCAGACAGGAGGGAGGGATGTCGGGGGGTGGGTCAATGTGACCCCAGAGGAGCCGAGGGGACCATAGCCTGATCTCTGTCACTGAGCTGACCACTGAGGCCTGTGTTTTCTGGAAAGCTAGAAGCCTCAGTGCTTCGCTTCTTGCAGCGGCAGGTTTGAGGTCTAGAACGGGTAAAAATAAATCTATCCATAAAAATAACCACTAGATGTGGGAAAATGGAGTTGGCCCCCCTGGGGCAAGAAGGAGGACACTGCCTCTGGCATCAGAAGTTCATAGTCTGCCTGTTCTGCTCAGCTCTGAGCAGTCCTGTTTCCCTCTTCTCCCTGCTGTACTCTTGACTTTACAGGTTCCTGTTCTTTAGATCTAGCCTGGCTCTCCTCAGCCTCCTGAACTCCCCATAGCAGGTCAGTCTCTACAGGGCTTACATCACTGTGGACCCTGTCCCTACCCCATCTCTCACTTGAGGAAAATGCAGTCAGCACTGTCTCTCACTTAGGTGTTTAACAGAATGTGTTCCTCTGCCTCTTGATGACTCCACCTTGAGTTTTCCAAATCTTCCTCACCATTTCCTGTACCTCCCCCGAATGCAGACTGCATGACTCCCTGTTGTGAATATCTACCATTTTGCCTTGGCTAGAACAGCAGCCATTTTCCCCATGCCCGAACCCAGTTCTTTGGGACGTCCTTTCTTCTCACTGTTAAGATGGAAACTGGGCCAGGCATGGTGGCTCATGCCTGTAATCCCAGCACTTTGAGAGGCCGAGGTGGTTGGATCACTTGAGGTCAGGAGTTCAAGACCAGCCTGGGCAACATGGTGAAACCCCGTCTCTACCAAAAATACAAAACTTAGCTGGCACGGTGGTGCGCGCCTGTAGTCCCAGCTACTCGGGAGACTGAGGCAGGAGAATCGCTTGAAACCAGGTGATGGAGGTTGCAGTGAGCTGAGATTGCACCACTGTACTCCAGCCTGGGTGACAGAGTGAGACTCTGTATCAGTAAATAAATACATAAATAAAAATACAAAAAAAAATCACTGGGCATGCCTGTAATTCCAGGTACTCAGGAGGCTGAGGCCCGAGAATCACTTGAACCCCAGAGGCTGAGGTTGCAGTGAGCTGAGATCGTGCCACTGTACTCCAGCTTGGGTGACAGAGTGAGACTCCATCTCAAAACAAAACAAAACAAAACAAAAAACAACAATTGAAACTGACATTTTATTAGCAGTCCTAACCCCACCTGACCCAAGCTGAGCCAATTACATCCTTTCCTGAGAGTTTTGCACTTACGATTAAACAGAAAACAAGGCTTGGTCCCTGCTGTGACTACTGTGAAGAGATACTCTGGAAGTATCAGAGGTCAAGTATCTTATACTCTGGAAGTATCAGGGGTCAAGTTCCCTGCCCCATGGAAGAAGCCTGCAATAAAAAAGAATACAGCTCGCATGCAAGAGAGGCAGACGAGAAAGCTAAGGAGTGAGTGCCAGCAGCACTGGAGTTCGTTGTACCTCATATCCCACTGTACCCCTGCCTTTCCTACAAATGAGTTACATGACTCATTGTGCATGCCTACGCTAGATGAAACTAGGTTTTTTGGTCACTTGTACTAAGTAATGTAGAAATGTAGTGTAGAAAGTAATATAGAAAGTCTTTGAGCTACTAGCTACCATTTAGATTCAGTCATTTCTGTGCATTTTATTCATTCAGTTAAGTATCTCTGAACACCTACTATTCAATTTAGCATACATTTATTGAATGTCTACTGTTTCAACATCTACTGGGCCCAGATGAGGTATACAGAGGTAATAAGCTTATAGTTTAGTAGAAGGAAAAGATGCTTTCATAGCATGAGTAGCTACAATCAAAGATGCTATAATCTTTTAAATGTATTTACTGAATGCTTACTATGTGCTAGGTAGTACATATTAAAAGATGAAATATAAAATGCTAGGAAATGCTAGGGAGTGATTGCCTCAGATGGGAATATTAGAAGGCTCTAGGAAGGAGATAATATTTGCAAGTACCTGAAAAATCTTGAAAAGCAAGCTTTAAACTGTTTTGGATGGAGGCGGGGTTAGGGTGGGACATGAGCAAAGGTCTGGAGGTAGAAAGAATAGAGAACGAGGTGGGTGGGTTGCCTGAGGCCAGGAGTTCAAGCCTGGCCTGGGCAACATGGCAAAACCCCATCTCTAGTAAAAAAATTAGCTGGGTGTAGTGGTACACACCTGTAATCCCAGCTACTTGGGAGGCTGAGGCACAAGAATAGTTTGAACCCAGGAGGCAGAGTTTGCGGTGAGCCGAGATTGCACCACTGCACTCCAGTCTGGGTGACAGAGTGATAGTCTGTCTCAAAAAAAAAAAAAAAAGAAAAAAAAAAAGAAAAAGAAAAAAGAAAAAAGAGTAGAGGAGAAAGACTGGGGAGGTAGTTTGAGTTCAGTCAATGGAGGGCCCTGAGTGGCCTCACTGGGTCTGTGTTTAGTAAGCTGGCTGTGGCAGTAGTGTGTAGGGTAGACTGCAAGCCTAAAGATGGTGGGAGGGATAATCCAGGCACAATGCATTACTAGGCAGTGTTATGGAACATAGTGATATGTAACATAGTCCCTGCCTTCCAGAAGCCTCTAATCTGGTTGTGGAGATATATAAAGCAGATAACAACAGAATAAAGTATATGCTGAAGTCTAAAACTTTGTTCCAGGTGAAAAACCCAGTGAAAGTTTAGCGAAGGAAAGCTGAAGATGGGCTGGAAGCTTTGCAGAAGGCTTCTTAGAGTTGGTGAGACTCCAGTTGGACTTTTCGATTATTTCTAATGCTTTTCTTTCTACCTCCTTGCAGAGCAGGCCTGGTGATGGCTGCAGGGTAGACAGATGTATTTATCTGAGTAACTTCTGCCCCCATGTCCTTTGTCTATCCTTATTATACAAAACCCAGGGCAAGGGTTCTAATGGGGAAGAAACTGGATCCAGGAAGACCCACTGAGCTCCAGCTAAGGGACTGGGGGCATGAACGCTAGGCAGAGATACCAAGGCAGAAGTCCTTGGACTTGGCTTAGGTCAAGATGGCAGGAGATCAGAGAAGGCTGCTAGATGGAGACACAGATAGCCAGGGTTTACCCTCCAAGACATTCTCATGTACAATCAAAACAACTAATTCTCTGGCTGGGCGTGGTGGCTCACGCCTGTAATCCCAGCACTTTGGAAGATGAAAGTGGGCAGATCACTTGAGGTCAGGAGTTCGAGATCAGCCTGGCCAGCACAGCAAAACCCCGTCTCTACTAAAAATACAAAAAAATTATCTGGGCATGGTTGCATACGCCTGTAATCACAGCTACTCAGGAGGCTGAGTTCAAGCCTCCCATTCAAGCGGGAATTGCTTGAACCCAGGAGGCGAAAGTTGCAGTGAGTGGAGATCGCGCCACTGCACTCCGGCATGGGCGACAGACTGAGACTCAGTCTCAAAAACAAGACCAAAAACGAAAAACAACAACTAATTCTCAAGTTCAGATTGAGCGTTGCTTCAGGAATCAGGGAGGGTCTGCTCAGGGAAGACAATGGTGACTTCAGCTAAGAGGGTCCAAGAAAGATAAAGATGAATAATTCTTGCTATATTTATATGAGAGAGAAGCAAATATCAGCAGCTGTTTCAGCAGCAATAGCAGCAGCAGGCTGGGCTATTTCTCCACTGCAAGAACCTTGCTGGGTCCTCCATGGGAGGGCTGGCTTCCAGCTCACCCCCTTGCTGAGTGTGGGTGGTCTTCTACACTTGACAAGCAACAATTTCATTTTTCCCACTTCCTGGAATTCCTGTGAGAGGACTGGATGGAACAGCCTTTACAGAGATCATTAGAAAGGGTGTCTGAATCTGCAAGGGTGGGATGCAGAATTAAATCAAAGGACACTTTCTCTGAGGGCTTGAGGAGCTGGTCTCAGAGGACCACCTAGTTAGTGTCACCACAGAGATCTTTGTGGCTCAACTTTTGTTTGTTGGGTTTTTGTTCTTTGTGTATTGCTGGTTTCATGCTCTGATTCTGGCAATAATGAGGATTACTAGGGATGCCAAGCGTTCCATGTTACTCTGCCATCTAGGCGGCCACTGTGTTAGAGGTGGGTTAAGCTGGGCAGAGACAGCCTGTGTTCATGGGAAAAACCTGTGTGTTGGGCTGTGTGCTCCTGGAGGCAGAGGATTGTCTCTTCTCCATCTTTGCATCCCCAGTGACTAGAACATCAAAGGCATCTGTGCATACTGTTAAATGAAGGAGTGCAGAATTTGACATGAGAAAACCCGAAACGGGAGGTGAGGGCCAGAAGCATCTTTCTGATTCAGTACTTTCGATGAGATACAGAATTTGTTTGATTTACTTGGGTGCATATTTTGCTGTTCTAATTTCATTCTGGTTCAATTGCTTTGGAAGCTGCAGTTGTTTGATTTTAATTTCACTTTGAACTCATTAACTAGGCTGTTATTATTTTTTTTTAACGCGTTTGGTTCATGATTTGTTTTTCTAACAAAATATTTGTCTCTCATTTATTTCAGGGTATAACAAATTAATGCCATTTAAAAATAGTTTTTGGTTAATGGTTGGGCTCAATAGAGCTGAGGAAGTGAGTGTGGAGTGAAGGGAACAAGCAATGGTTTTTAAATTGAATTTTGAATCCTAATTAGAGAATCAGCAATGCCCTAAGTGCTCATTAAGTTTCAAATGAAAATCAAAAAGGAAGCCCAACTGGAAGGATCCTTGCTGACCCCATGCTAGATAGAGTTTACAACCTGTCCCACCCCAGAAGCCCCCTGTTCCAGAGCCTTTAATAGTTCTGTGTTTGCACAGTACATTGCAGTTTACAAACCCACTGAGCTCCAGCTAAGGGACTACGTAAAATATTTAATTTGATCCTTGCAATAGTCCTATATGGCAGGAAGAATAGGGCATGAGTTATTATTCCCATCTTACAGTTGGGGAAACTGAGGCTCAGAAAGGCTGACTACATTGTTTGGTATCACACAGTTCATGGTAGAAATATAACAGAAATCCTTTAACTGCTGGCCCAAGCCTCTTTCCCTTGCCTTGGTGTGACAGGCTTTCTTGCCGTCTACATTCCGGGCCAATTCTGCAGGCTTCAGGATCCACAGATTTGGGGAGAACTGGGGAGAGAAGCCCTGGCTGGGAGGGGATGCTGGGAAAGGAGAGGTGGCAGTGGAACCTATCTCCTTGCCAGGAACTGAATCCCAGCTCTTCTGCTTCTCCAGATGACACTGGAGCCTGGATTTCTGAAACTCACCTTCTCATTTTGGGGAGACCACAGGAGGCAGGCCCTCCCAGAAACCTAGTGTACAATTTACTTTATCAGAGGTGCTCAGCTCTCTTCAGTCTCTCCGTGACTTAGCAGCTCCTGACCCCCATCTTCACGACCCCTTCCAGACATATAGCTGGTGAAGCCATGGCTTCCCAGCCTGGCCCCAGCAAATGCTCATGTTGTGCGCTTACCTTTCAGTCATTCATCCAGCTAACACTTCTTGAGCCTACTATGTGCCAAACAAAGAAGCAAGCCACTTTACCTGCATTATTGCCTTTTACTTTTGGAGTCCTAAGAAGTAGGTGTCGTCCAGGCGTGGTGGCTCATGCCTATAATCCCAGCACTTTGGGAGGCCGAGGCAGGTGGATCACCTGAGGTCAGGAGTTCAAGACCAGCCTGGCCAACATGGTGAAACTCTTGTCTCTACTAAAACTACAAAAACTAGCAGGTATGGTGGCAGATACCTGTAATCCCAGCTGCTCGGGAAGCTGAAGCAGGAGAATCACTTGAACCTGGGAGGTGGAGGTTGCAGTGAGCTGAGATGGCACCACTACACTCCAGCCTGGGCAACAGAGTGAGACTCCACCTCAAAAAAAAAAAAAAAAAGAGAGAGAGAGAAAGGAGCATTCAGGCCCAACCCTGAGTGTCTGGGGCAGCAGGGAAGACAGAAATTTTAAATGTCTGTCTAGGCTGTGTGTCCATCTCACTGTAACAAGAGCTGAGAATGGCGAAAATGTTTTGTGCTCACCACAGAGGCTCTTGGTCCATGGGGGAGGAAGGCGGGAAAAGGATAACTACTCTCTGTATTTAACCTGGGAAGTGTGCAGAGTAGAGGTGGAGACCAGGCTACTTGGGGCAGAGAGCTGGACTGGGTGAATTTTTGTTTTGTTTTGAGATGGAGTTTCGCTCTTTTCGCCCAGGTTGGAGTGCAATGGCGCGATCTTGTCTCACTGCAACCTCTGCCTCCCAGGTTTAAGCAATTCTCCTGCCTCAGCCTCCTGAGTAGCTGAGATTACAGGTGTGCGCTATCATGCCCAGCTAATTTTTGTATTTTTAGTAGAGATGGGGTTTCACCATATTGGTCAGGATGGTCTCAAACTCCTGACCTCAGGCGATCCACCCGCCTCGGCCTTCCAAAGTGCTGGGATTACAGGCATAAGGCCTCAGGCCCAGCCAACTGGGTGAATGTTTTTAAATAAACTGCTCACTACCCAACAACTGTCTGCCTGACTCTGTTCCCAGCTCCTTTGGGTCTTCCCAGACCTCTAGAGAAGGAGGCATCCTGTACTCTTGGGAAGTCTCTCCACCCATGCCCCTGCCTCCAAACTGAACTGCAGGTGGCTCAAAAGATAGTGAATGCTCAGAGAAGAAGACTTTGTAGCCTCCCTGGGTTACATACCCCTGCTTTTAGCTACGAGATGCAAGCAAGTTCTTCAGGAGGTCTGTTCTTAGTCCTAAGTGCACACTCTCATGGGGCATCCACCAGAAACAAAAAGAGAGCAACAACTGAGATATGAGGCATTTTAAGACTTTTGCTGAGTCTTCCCCAGCATCCCTCTCTCAACTGATTTAGAGGCCCTTTCGTCTACTGGAACTGAAAGTGAGGATGACATAGAGAGGTGCTTGCCAGAGGCAAGGAGGAGTGGGGGAGGCATTGCTCCAGTCTGGCTTCATCTGCCTTCTTAGCTTCTTCTGGGACTTGGTGTCAGGGGTAAAGAGCAAGTTTATGGGCACGAAAAGCTAAACCTGTAGTGTTACATGGAGGAGTATTGGTTCTCTGTTAGGAACCACAGACAACGTTTTATTTTTGTTTTATTTTTTAAATTAATTAATTTAGAGACAAGATCTCACCCTGTCACCTAGGCTGGAGTGCAGTGGCTCAATATTGGCTCTCTGCAGCCTCAACCTCCTGAGCTCAAGCAATTCTCCCATCTCAGCCTCCCAGGTAGCTGGGACTACAGGTGCATGCCACCATGCCCAGCTATTTATTTTTATTTTTTGTAGAGACAAGGTTTCACGCCATGTTGCCCAGGCTGGTCATGAACTCCTGGGCTCAAGTGATCTGCCCACCCTCCATGAGCCACCGTGCCCGGACTTATTTATGGTTTGCTAAGTGGCCTTTGCAAAGTGTTCAACCTCTCTAGGCCCCTGTGGGTTTCCCACATCTGTGGCACTGGTGTACAGGTGGGGGACACAATGGGCTGTCTTTCCTATGTAGGGTGAAACCTGAAACGTCACTAATTAATTTGAGGGAAAGGCCCAGGGCAGCACCTTGAACCAAGATCCTTGGGATAAGTTAGAAACACAGAGGCAGATTCTGGAACTATGGGCTCCAATGACAAATGGGATCTTCAGAGGTCAACTGGTTCTTCCCCTCCACATTCTAGGCAGGCATGCCCTTGCCACTACCCAAACAGTAGCTGATTCTGAATCGAGGGAGATTTCTGGAGAAGATAGTCTCATAGCCTACCCTTATGTGAACACACTTTTTCCAAGTCAGCTACAACTCCTGATCTTCCTGTGAGGTCCAGGCCTCCATTCCTGCGCTTCCCATTGACCATGGGAGCTGCAGCACCCTGATGGTCCATCCTGACCGGACCACCTGTTTTGGGACCATAGGATACCACTCACCACAAGAGGTCATAGTGCCCAAGCTGTAATTACAGGCATGGAGCTATGATTTCTGCTTGGTAGTTACCCCAGTGCAGTCAATGTGATATCATCTCCCTGTGATAATCAGCCTGACAATAACCAACCTATTATGCTTCTTGCATGATAAAGGCTGAGGAACAGCAGTCACAAAATAACTGTGGCTCAGATCCATCTGCTCAGCAGTTTCTTAAGACTCAGGTCTATGCCACCTCCTTTGAGAAGCCTCCTGGGTCTCCTCTCCCACACCCAGGTTAGGTGTCCTTCAGGGCTTCTGCAGCACTGCTTGGTTTCAGACCTTGTTCTTCACTCTGAAGCCTATATGTTCGCTTCCAAAGACTCTGCTCCTGGGATCCATGGCTCTGGGACCTCTGACTTTCCTCCATCCCTATTCTGTTTTTTTTTTTTTTTTTTTTTTTTTTTTGAGATGGAGTCTTGCTGTGTTGCCCAGGCTGGAGTGCAGCGGCACAATCTCGGCTCACTGCAACCTCTGCCTCCCATTTACAAGTGATTCTCCTACCTCAGCCTCCCGAATACCTGGGATTACAGGCACGTGCCACCACACCCATCTAATTTTTGCATTTTTCGTAGAGGTGGGGCTTCACCATGTTGGCCAGGCTTGTCTCAAACTCCTGTCCTCAGGTGATCCACCTGCCTCGGCCTCCCACATTGCTGGGATTACAGGCATGAGCCACTGCACCCAGCCCACTTGTCCTTTCTTGTATTTAACATTTAGTCAGCTATTTCAAGTTCACAAGGTAGTTTATTACAGAGTCTGGCCTCTTGGTGGATGAGCTTAACCCTGGTGAGCTGAGAGGTGTACAGACTCTGGCATCCGGTCCTGTCAGCACAGGCTCCCTGGTGCACCAGCTTCCAGAGCCACATTTCTTGTTCCCTCTCCCAAGTTTCCATTCCTTCCATCTCACTTCATGGCCAGGGACATTTCTCTCACTTTCTACTGTCACACCAGAAGCAAAACGCTCTCTGTCCAGCACCAAAGTTATCTCGGCTTTCATCACAACAATCTCAATCCCAGGTCATCAGATCTTTTGAATTATAAAACTAGAACCTTCCAAGTAGTTTCTACCTCTTTGAGACACCTGGGAAAGATTTTTTTTTTTTTTGCTAAACATTCTTTATTTTATTTTTTACACAGTTTTTCTAACTACCTTGTGGGTAGTTAAATCAAATGCACAGAATTTATGCCAGGCTCTGTTTTAAGACTGAGACAAAGGTGGATACGACTGAGTCCCAAGGGTTTGTCAGAAGTTCCTCATATTACCCATCGATAAATACTTTGCCGACTCCTGACACATACTTTAGTGGTTGCCTGGATGCCATGATTCAAGATGGGATCCTTAGTGGTCGAGTGTAGTCTTGGAGGCTTCTGGTAACAGCACTCTGATTTTTCGGAAAAATCAATGCACTTTCAAGAACTTACAGTTCGGAAGCACTTCACTCCTAGCTCCAGGAATGGGCATGTAACCAGAATCAGTCAATGAGACTCAGTTCTGGGACTTTGCTTGAAACTGCAATCAGTAGAATTGAAAATAGTTGGGTAGGCCAGGAATGGTGGCTCACACCTGTAATCCCAGCACTTTGGGAAGCTGAGGTGGGCAGATTACTTGAGGTCAGGAGTTTGAGACAGCCTGGCCAACATGGTAAAACCCCATCTCTACTAAAAAAATACAAAAATTAGCTGGGTTTGGTGGTGTGTGCCTGTGCTTCCAGCTACTTGGGAGGCTGAGGCAGGAGAATCACTTGAACCCGGGAGGCAGAGGTTGCATTGAGCTGAGATTGCGCCACTGCACTCCAGCCTGGGTGACAGAGCAAGACTCTGTCTCAAAAAGAAAGAAAGAAAGAAAGAATATAGTTGGGTACACACCTGGAGTTTCTGGGAGCCATCTTGCCAATGCCTGTCTGAGAGTGGGGCCAATGTAAAGGAAAGCCCAGCTATGAGTTGGAGGGAAATTAGTCCTGACCACATCCTGTAAGCTCTGTGTGCAGCTGGGCCTGATAGATACATAAATTTTGCTCCAGCCAATCGCAACTGGATTTCTTTTAATTGCAATGGAAAAAATCCTCACTAGTATTAAACTCAGGGTCCATATTAATTAAAAAAAAAAGTTGCCTTTTCCCACTAGCCCTATTGAACAGGAGTGAATTTCTCTTTCTTCTCATATCTCCTGTTATATATTGGCCTTTTACTTCCCTTCCTCTTCAAGACTGTTGCAGGGGTTTGGTATATCCTGATTTTATCAGGATAAACATGCTAGAGTGTGTCGATGGTGGAGGAAGGGCAGGCCTCCAGACATTGCTGTCCTGGTAGTGCAGGGCAGCTGAGGCCATGGAGGGCTACAGAAGCAAGGAGCCTTAGGAGCCCTCAGTGTGAGGTGGCCTAGCCTGTAGTTCATCCCAGGAACAGCCCTAAGGGTGTCAGGTTATTAAGATTTGGTGAGGGAGTAGCCGTTGGTCAATGGCTTGGTCTCAAGGACAATTATACATCTATTTTTTTTTTTTTTGAGACAGCATTTCACTCTCGTCGCCCAAGTTGGAGTGCAATGGTGTGATCTCGGCTCACTGCAACATCTGCCTCCCCAGTTCAAGAGATTATCCTGCCTCAGCCTCCCGAGTAGCTGGGATTACAGGTGCCTGACACCAAGCCTGGCTAATTTTTGTATTTTTAGTAGAGATGGGGTTTCACCATGTTGGTCAGGCTGGTCTCGAACTCCTGGCCTCAAGTGATCCGCTTACCTCAGCCTCCCAAAGTGCTGGGATTACAGGCATGAGCCACCGCATCTAGCCTGTTATACATCCTTCTGCGAAGTTGTCTGTGATGTTAATACTGAGTGTCAACTTGATTGGATTGAAGGATACAAAGTATTGATCCTGGGTGCGTCTGTGAAGGTGTTGCCAAAGGAGATTAACATTTGGTCAGGGGACTGGGAGAGGCGGACCCACCCTTAATCTGGGTGTGCACCATCTGATCAGCTGTCAGCGTGGCTAGAATATAAAAAGCAGGCAGGGTATATACCCAAAGGATTATAAATCATGCTGCTATAAAGACACATGCACATGTATGTTTATTGTGGCACTATTCACAATAGCAAAGACTTGGAACCAATCCAAATGTCCAACAATGATAGACTGGATTAAGAAAATGTGGCACATATACACCATGGAATACTATGCAGACATAAAAAATGATGAGTTCATGTCCTTTGTAGGGACATGGATGAAGTTGGAAACCATCATTCCTAGCAAACTATCGCAAGGACAAAAAACCAAACACCGCATGTTCTCACTCATAGGTGGGAATTGAACAGTGAGAACACATGGACACAGGAAGGGGAACATCACACACCAGGGACTGTTGTGAGGTGGGGGGAGGGGGGAGGGATAGCATTAGGAGATATACCTAATGCTAAATGATGAGTTAATGGGTGCAACACACCAACATGGCACATGTATACGTATGTAACAAACCTGCATGTTGTGCACATGCATCCTAAAACTTAAAGTATAATAATAATAAAAAAAAGGCAATGAAAAAAAAAGCGGGCAGAAACATGTGAAAAAGAGACTGGCCTAGCCTCCCAGTCTACATGTTTCTCCCGTGCTGGATGCTTCCTGCCCTCAAACATCGGAATCCAAGTTCTTCAGTTTTGGGACTCGGACTGGCTCTCCTTGCTCCTCAGCTTGCAGACGGCCTATTGTGGGACCTTGTGATCATGTGAGTTAATACCTAATAAACTCCCCTTTATATGTATCTATCCTTTTTTTTTGAGACAGAGTCTAGCTCTGTCACCCAGTGGCTCGATCTCGGCTCACTGCAAGCTCCGCCTCCCAGGTTCACACCATTCTCCTGCCTCAGCCTCCCGAGCAGCTGGGACTACAGGCGCCCGCCACCATGCCTGGCTAATTTTTTTGTATTTTTAGTAGAGACGGGGTTTCACTGTGTTAGCCAGGATGGTCTCGATCTCCTGACCTCGTGATCTGCCTGCCTCGGCCTCCCAAAGTGCTGAGATTACAGGTGTGAGCCACTGTGCCCGGCCTTGTATCTATCCTATTAGTTCTGTCCCTCTAGAGAACCCTAATACTTTGTCCAACTCTGTACTTTCTGATTCTTGAGCCTGAAGTATCCTTTTTGTCTCCAAACTCTGAGATACCTGGGGGCCTTGCTCCTATCTTTTTCTATCCAAGGACCCCACCATTAAGAGAAGCAGCAGGGGGTGATTTTACACAAAAGCAAAGGGGTCTGGAATTCAGTCAGTATTGATATTAAATCCAAAGATCACACTTTTGCCAGGCATGGTGGCTCATGCCTGTAGATCCAGCACTTTGGGAGGCCGAGGAGGGAGGACTGCTTGAGGCCAGGAGTTTAAGACCAGCCTGGGCAACATAGCGAGACCTCATCTCTACAAAAAATAAAAATTAGCCGGGCATGGTGGCGCATGCCTGTATTCCCAGCTACTTAGGAGGCTGAAGCAGGAGGATCAGAGATTGAGGCTGCAGTGAGCCGTGACTGCACCACTACACTCCAGCCAGGGTGACAAAGCCAGACTCTGTCTCAAAAATAAATAAATAAATAAATAAGATAAAGATCACACTTTTAAATTCAATTAAATGTAATTAATTTATTTTTATAAGGTTTCACTCAGTCACTAGGGCTGGAGTGCAGTGGCATGATCACAGCTCACTGCAGCCTTGAGCTCCTGGGCTCAAGCAATCCTCTCACCTCAGTCTCTCTAGTAGCTAGAACTACAGGTGCACACTACCATGCCTAGATAGTTTATGTTTATTTATTTTTTATTATAGACATGGGGTCTTGCTATGTTGCCCAGGCTGGTCTTGAACTCCTCACCTTAAGTGGTCTTCTGGCCTTGGCCTCCCAAAGCCCAAACCACTGGGATTACAGGCTATCACGCCCAGCTAAATGTCACACTTCAGAGAGGTCACATCATTAGGGTATTTCTCTACCAACAAGATATCGCTCGAATGCATTAGACTGGCAGAGCCGTCTTCTTATGGTGCACTGCAGACCGATCTGTCAGCCGCTCCTTCTGCTTGTTCCCTTCCTCTGTCTTCCTAGTTCCTGCATCTATCTTGGCTCCTGGCCAGGTCATTTTTGAATTACCATTGACAGAAGCAGTACTCGTATGAATTATCTCCATGGCATTCTTTCCCTCTGGCCTCTGCTTCTTCATCTGGAGATTCTGAACCTTCGTAAGAAGGGCATCCTATCCAGCAAACACCTGAAAGATGGAAAGCATATCCCAGTCCAGGAAGAGTGCAGCAGCCCTGCCTGACAGGCTCCTTTATCTCCTCTGAGAGCCCTTGCCAATCAGACAGGGGACCAGTGCCTTTCAGTTCTTAACATGGCTGTGTGCATCTGGGGAGGCGTTCACAGATGCCTCCCTGAGGCTGGATGCTGGGGCCCTTCTGGATTCAAACTGTTCCTTCAATGACCGCCACCCCCTTGTGGAACCCAGACAATTGGCTGCCCCATGGACTGCCTGCACTATGCCCTATTAGGCTGATGAGATACCCAGCACCACCTGATTTCACATTAGCATGGAGACACTTGTGTTCCCTTGGACGCTGTTCCTAGCTTGCCTGAGGTTTGCCCCAGCCCCAGCCTCTGTAGCTATGTCTGCATTGATGTCTCAGTTTGGGTCTGCCTGGTTATTTTCCTTCCTAAAGGCCCCAGCCACCTTGAACTGAATCAGTATCATGGAAAACAGGAAGGTAGAGGAAGAAAAGCCCTCGGGGTCCCTCTGCAGGGCTTGTGCCTTAATTCTGGCTGTGGTGATGGGAGGCTCACTCACGCTCGCTCATCTCGTGCCTGGTTGGCCAGTGGCACAGAGCAGTATGGGTGGCTTGGACTCTGGGAGCCATCTATATCCTGGACCCTAAGCCCCAATCCCATTAGGCTAATGCACTAACTAAGCTAAGTCCATTTGTTTATTCAGAACACAAATAGCTTTAACTTCAAGTATGTGACTGGCTTTGTACCAGCTGCAGGAAGAGTTACAAAAAGGCTGTGGTATAGTTGGATGTAAACACTTACACACATGAAGAATGAACCAGTGACATACTAAAGCAAGGCATGGGCCGGGTGTGGTGTCTCAGGCCTGTAATCCCAGCACTTTGGGAGGCTGAGGCGGGCGGATCACCTGAGGTCGGGAATTCGAGACTAGCCTGACCAACATGGAGAAACCCCGTCCCTACTAAAAATGCAAAATTAGCCGGGTGTGGTGGTGCATGCTACTTGAGAGGCTGAGGCAGGAGAATCGCTTGAACCCTGGAGGTGGAGGTTGCAGTGAGCTGAGATCGCGCCATTGCACTCTAGCCTGGAGTGTCCTAGAATGGTCTGTGATGTGTTGTTGAGTGGATCAGAAGAGAAATGCTGTATGTTCAGAGTGGTGAGATGAGTGGACACTGGGATTGTCAGAGAAAGTCCATCAGGAGTTGATGTGGATCTTGAAGGTTTCAGGATCTAGACCAGGCAGGCCTGGCCTCCCAGGGAACGGCTGGAACCAAGGCAGGGAGGCCTGAGCTTTAGAGGAATCATCCCTCAAGGAATATCAAAATTGAAGCCAAGGGTTTCTGTTGGGGGTCAGTGGAAGATGACAGTGTGACTCTTAACAACTTTGGGGAAAATCAAGAACTTGGATATCAAAATAGTGAATACCATTTGTTGCTGAAGTGCTTTATACAGATAAAGGACTCACTAAATCCTTAAAACAATCCTGGGCTGGCGTGGTGGCTCATGCCTGTAATCCCAGCACTTTGGGAGGCCGAGGTGGATGGATCACGAGGTCAGGAGATTGAGAGCATCCTGGCTAACACAGTGAAACCCCGTCTCTACTAAAAATACAAAAAAATTAGCTGGGCGTGGTGGCGGGCGCCTGTAGTCCCAGCTACTCAGGAGGCTGAGGCAGGAGAATGGCGTGAACCCGGGAAGTGGAGCTTGCAGTGAGCCGAGATTGTGCCTCTGCACTCCAGCCTGGGTGACAGAGCGAGACTCTGTCTCAAAAAGCAAAAGAAAACAAAACAAAAAAAACAACCCCATGAAATAAGCACTATTATTACTACCTCCCCCATCCCCTGCTGTTTTTTTTTTTGTTGTTGTTTTTAGATGGAGTCTCCCTCTGTCACCCAGGCTGGAATGCAGTGGGGCAATCTTGGCTCACTGCAACCTCTGCCTCCCAAGTTCAAGTGATTCTCCTGCCTCAGCTGCCCTAGTAGCTGGGACTACAGACACATGACACCACGCCCATCTAATTTTTGTAGTTTTAGTAGAGATGGGGTTTCACCACGTAGGCTGGTCTCGAACTCCTGACCTCACGTGATCCACCTGCCTTGGCCTCCCAAAGTGCTGGGATTACAGATGTGAGCCACTGTGCCTGGCTCTTTCCCATTTTTAAAGATAAGGTAGCTGAGGGCTGGGCATGGTGTCTCACACCTGTAATCTCAGCACTTTGGGAGACCCAGATGGGTGGATCACTTGAGGTCAGGAGTTCGAGACTAGCCTGGCCGAAATGGTAAAATCCATCTCTACTGAAAATACAAAAATTAGCCGGTGTGCTGGCATGCACCTGTAATCTCAGCTAATCGGGAGGCTGAGGCAGGAGAATCAATTGAACCCAGGAGATAGAGGTTGCAGTGAGCCAAGATTGCACCATTGCTCTCCCGCCTGGGCAACAGAGAAGACTCCATCTCATTTCTTTTGAAATAAAAATAAATAAAAACTAAAGATAAAGGAAGCTGAGACCCAGAGAGCTGAAGGCCTCAGAGATGTGTCAGGATTTGAATCTGTGTGCTGTCAAAATACTTGCTTTTCTCATCATGCCATGCTGCCCACCCCAACCCACCCCAGCCCCTCTTTCCTGTGGGTCTTGGTGACTCATCCTCTTTCTTGGCAGACATTGTGGTTTTCAGACATTGTGGTTTTTGATAACTCAGTAAATGAAGTCATCCTGTTGTTGTTGCTGTCTCTGCTTCTTGGGCCACGCTCCCGCCCCGGTGTCCTTGTGCTGCCTCAAGGCTCCTGGTTGCTGGAGCAGGAACTCTGTAGCTACTGTTGCTTTTTTTGTTTGTTTGTTTTATAGTGTCTTTGAAAGAACATGATTTCCCCAGGGGGTGAGCCAAGGCCATTTAAGTGATATGCTCAATGCTATCTAACAATGTCTTTCTTGTTTTTTTTTTGAGATGGAGTTTCACTCTTGTTGCCCAGGCTGGAGTGCAATGGTGCGATCTCAGCTCACTGCAACCTTCACCTCCCAGGTTCAAATGATTCTCCTGCCTCAGCCTCCCGAGTAGCTGGGATTACAGGTGCCTGGCACCATGCCTAGCTAAGTTATCTAACAAGGTCTTTCTTTTTTTTGAGATGGAGTTTCACTCTGTCACCAGGCTGGAGTGCAGTGGCGCGATCTCGGCTCACTGCAACCTCCGACTCCCTGGTTCAAGCGATTCTCCTGCCTCAGCCTCCCGAGTAGCTGGGATTATAGGCACATGCCACCACACCAGGCTAATTTTTGTATTTTTAGTAGAGACGGGGTTTCTCCATATTGGTCAGGCTGGTCTTGATCTCCTGACCTTGTGATCCGCCCACCTCGACCTCCCAAAGTGCTGGGATTACAGGCACGAGCCACCGCGCCCGGCCCACAATGTCTTTCTTATAGATCAAGAACCAGTGTTCTTATCTCAGGGTGTGTTTTCTGCCTTCCCAGGCCTCGCCACACTCACAGTACAGGGGGCAGCCTTCATCTTCCCTTTTTGCTTGAAGCCTCAAGCCTGATGTTTCAGCAGCCTGATGCTCAATCCCAAAGGCCTTTACCTTTTTCTCAGTGCCCTCCTGGCCCTTGTAAATGTGATGTATTGGTTGTCAGCATCAGGGTTCCAGAATTCCCAGGGTAGATGTACAATTAGGCTCACACCGTGCCCCTTGCTTGTGGAGACCATGGAGGGAAGTAATACCAAAGAAAAGAGGAGAGGAAAAGGGAAAGAGCTAACGTATACTGAGTAATTTCTACAAGCTAGGCACCGTGCCTTACATAAACAGTCCTGAGTCACTTAACAAACAGAGCTACAGTCTGAGAAATGCATTGTTAGGTGATTTCATTGTTTTGCAAACATCATAGGTATACCCACACAAACCTAGATGGTGTAGCCTACTACACACCTAAGCTGGATGGTATAGCCTATTGCTCCTAGGCTATAAACCTGTACAGCATGTTATTGTACTATAGGCAATTATAACACACTGGTGTCTAAACATATCTAAACATAGACAAGGTACCATGAAAATATGGTATTATAATTTATTTATTTATTTATTTATTTATTTATTTATTTTTTGAGATGAAGTCTCACTGTTGTCACCCAGGCTGGAGTGCAGTGGCGTGATCTAGGCTCATTGCAACCTTCACCTTCCAGGTTGAAGAAATTCTCCTGCCTCAGCCTCCCGAGTAGCTGGGATTACAGGTGTCTGCCACCACGCCCAACTAATTTTTGTATTTTTAGTAGAGATGGGGTTTCGCCATGTTGGCCAGGCTGGTCTCGAACTCCTGACTGATATTATAGTTTTTATGGGACCACAATCGTATATGCAGTGTGTTGGTGACCAAAATGTCATTATGTGGCATATAACTGTATCTTAAGGTTTAATCACAGTAACATGATAGCAGTACTATTGGCCTCATTTTGCAGTTGAGAAACTGGTTGCTCAGAGAGGTTGGAGTAACCTGCCCATCAGTGGCAGGGCCAGGATTGGCACCAGGTCAGCTTGATTTCAAAATGTTGTTTTGTCTTCTAGACAACAAAGCATCATTGAAGGTGTCCAAGAGGAAACTGAGAGGCCAAAGCAGCATTTTGGGAAGATTAATATGACAGCAGTGGGTGGAAGGAATGGGAGAGAAGCAATGCCGAAGCTGTGGGGATCCACTAGTAGGTTACACAACAACGTCAGCTTGAGAATCCTCCAGGAGGACAGCAGAAGCAGAAAGGAGGTGCAGCTGTGAGAGACAATGAGAAGCAGAGATTAGCAGTCCTTGGCAGCTGAGTAGTCTCAGACTTGACAAGGAAATCCTCCTTTTTCTGATTATTTAGGGTCCTGCCATATGTTGGTGGCCTATACCAGGGATAAGGCCTGTCACTTCTACTTGAGTTATGCAGGAGCAGAGAAGGCAGGGAAACACGTGTGGTGAGAGGGTGCCTTGCTCAGCTCCTCGACAGGGCTAGGGTAGGTAGTCTGCCATCCCTGGTCAAGGCCTAGGCCTTTGGAAGTTCTAGTTACCCAGCCCAGGATATAGCATCTTGTGTGTTCAATAAATGGTAATTGGTGGTGGTGAGCTCAGAAGCATCTCTAAAATAGAGAGTGAGCCATCACTGTTTACAAGCAACTCCTCTCCCCAGCTGGTGGAAGCACATGGATCTAATGACTCCTTTCCTGGTGAGGAAACCGAGGCTCAGAGGTTTCATGGCTTTCCCACGGTCTCCTGGAGAGCCAGAGGGCAGAGTTAGGGTTCAAATGCATCATTCTCAGCTCTGACCTAGAGTCCTGTTGCCTTCCCCAGCTTGTCTCTCTTTGGTGTCAGAGAAACAGGGGGAATTAATGATAAACCTTCACATGAGTAAGGCCATTTACAGTTTACAAAACTGCTTCCCATCCATTATCTCATTTGATCCTCACAACAACTGGGTATTATTATACTCATTTTGCAGATGGAGAAACTGGCTATGGTCATTCAACTGTGACTGAAAGAGCTAGAATTCAAAATGAAGTTTTCTGACTCCAGGTCTAAGCTCTTTCCTGGAGGCCATGAGAATAAGGGAGCAAATGAAAAATAGAACAGCAAAGGGGAGAAGAAGTGTTCAGGTGAGAGCAGCAAATGCAGCATAGATGGTGCTGGAGGGCTTCAAGTTAAACACAATAAAAGCTTCTGGGCAGGAAAGATTGTTCATCACAGGTACCAGCAGCTGGGGGAAGCTGGTTTATCTGGGGAATTAGCTTGGTTTTTAGTAGAGGCTGATTGGTTGAAGAGATAATCTCTAGAAAAAATATTTCCTGCTTTCTTACCCTTGGATATTTGCCGCCTTCTTACCCTTGGATCTTGTGAAGAAAAAGAAGCAGGAGAGAGAGGAAAACACTAATGTTAGCATTTGCCTTATAGATGCCCAATAAACTATATTGAGTGGATGGTTGAATGGATGGCTGGGTGGGTGGATGAATGGATGGCTGGGTGGATGGATGAATGGATGGTTGGGTGGATGAATGGATGGATGGGTGGATGAATGGATGGATGGGTGGATGGGTGGATGGATGGATGGATGGGTGGGTGGGTGGATGGATGGATGGATGGATGGATGGGTGGATGGATGGATGGGTGGGTGGGTGGATGGATGGGTGGGTGGGTGGGTGGATGGATGGGTGGGTGGGTGGGTAGATATTCAAGTGGGTGTGTGGATGGGCCATGGATGGATGGGAGAGATTTAGGGAAATTGCACATCTCCTTGGGCAACCTCATGGTCCTATTTACAACTCTTGAAGTTACTCTACCTCTGTTTCTCCCACCCTTTAACCCATCTACATTATCTGATGCTATAAATGATGTTCTTATCCCAGGAGGAAGAATTAGTGTAGCATTCAGAGAGAAGCCAGGAAGTAACTTCCTTTGTCCCAGGAAGGTGAATGGGATGGAGTATCTCTGTCCTCCAGTTCACTTGAAGTCTCTGAAGCCCTGCTCTAACCTAATAGTCAGGATTTCTGGATCCTGGGGGACCCTCCAGCTGCTCCTGTTGGAGGGGAACAGCCATCTTGTCATGGGGTGGTAGATATGGCATTTGTGGTTGGGCTCTAGAAAGACTAAGGACCCAAGGGATCGAGAACTATGCTCGCCCGAGGTCTCTTTACTCTGCAACTTCTTTGCCCGCCTTTCAGGGAAACATTGCAATGTGGCTTTCCCAAGCTAGTATGGGGTGGGGGTTGGGTAAGGCCAAAGGGTTAGAGATGATCCATACAGGGTGCACCTTTGTCCTCTACCTATGGTCAGTCCCTACTTGTCACCAGTAGAACCAGTAACTCTGGCCCTAAGGCTGCATGGCAGTCTTATACTGGAGAATTCATGGGACAGGTGTCCCGGTCCTGGGTTCTGATTCTAGCTCTGTCACTGAGTATGTCCAGTGTATAACACAGCATCTGCATGTAGTAGATGCTCACTATATATCCAATGAGAAGGCAAGGCGCAGTGACTGGCTCACGCCTGTAATCCCAGCACTTTGGGAGGCCGAGGATGACGGATCACCTGAGGTCAGGAGTTTGAGACCAGCCTGGCCAACATGGTGAAACCCCATCTCTACTAAAAATACAAAAATTAGCCAGGCATGGTGGTGGGCGCCTGTAATTCCAGCTACTTGGGAGGCTGAGGCAGGAGAATCACTTGAACCTGGGAGGCAGAGGTTGCAGTAAGCCAAGATCACACCACTGCACTCCAGCCTGGAGTCTCTCTCTCTATATGTAGACTATATATATATATATATCTTCAATGAGAGAGTGAACAAATGAATGAAATAATTAGCTGTGACCTTGGGCAGATTACTTTCCTCTTCTGGACCTTGGTCTCCATACCTGTAAAATGGGGATAATAATGCTGGCTCTGTCTCCCACTTACAGCCATCCTCAGCCTTTGGGAGTAAATGAACAGATAGATGTGAATGGTGTTTATGTATCATCCCACTCAAGGGACTACATGGTGGTTGGCATTTGCTGCCCCATGCCCCTGCACCTGCACATGCTAGCCAGGTCTGCTGCTCATCTCACGCATGCCACAGCCCACACCTCTCCAGATCCCTGCTATCCTGTCCCATGGAACTTGGTTGTCCCACATCCCCCACTTTCAGGGATCTGGCTCTGTTAACATGAAAGTGATACTATTTACCCTTTATTAACACCTATCTGTTGAGCATTTAGGTCATTATGTCCTCATAACGGTCCTCTGAGGGACTCACTGTAGTGAAGTGACCTGCCCAAGGCCACATAACACTTAAGTAGTAGAGCCAGGATTCCAGCCAGGTCTCTGAACCTGCTGCTGAAGCTTCTGGCCTTGTAGCTGTAAATTCTTGGTCTACCCAGGGCGGCAGTTTCATTCAGTGTGGTGAAGAAAGTACAACAGTCGGAGGTGCAAGACCTGCATTCAAGCTTAGGCTTGACTGCTACTAAGCTGGGTGTTGGCCGGGTGGGGTGGCTCATACCTGCAGTCCAAGCACTACAGGCCGAGGCTGGTGGATTGCTTGAGCCCAGGAGTTCATGAGACCAGCCTGGGCAACATGCCAAAACCCCATCTCCACAAAAAGTACAAAAATTAGCCAGGCATGGTGGCACATGCCTGTAGTCCCAGCTACTTGGGAGGTTGAGGTGGGAGGATCGCTTGAGCCCAGAAGGTCTAGGCTGAAGTGAGCAGAGATTGCGTCACTACACTCCAGCTTGGGCAACAGAGCTAGATCCTGTCTCAAAAAATAAAAATAAAAATGAACTGAGTGTCCTCAGCAAGTTTCATCAAAGTGCTAAATTGTGAGGATCAAAAGCAATGGTGTGTTCAAACCACTTAGTAATGTGTCCATCAAATATTGGAAATGATTTTTATAGGAGGTCTTCTAGAGGCATTGGTTTAACAGAAAGAAATGGCTATAACAGTGGGGATTACAGAGACCATAGCAGGCTGGTGAATACTTTGGGGAAAGAAGTCTTTCAAAGTTGCTTAGGTCATATGATGAATCCTGAGGGCAAACATTTGCTCCCGCTCTGGCTAGGAAGGCTCTGCCCTCAGGCTCTGGGAGTTCCTAACCAATAGCAGAGTCCTAACTCGCTGTGCCCCACAAATTGCTAGTTACCTAGGTCCCAGATTCACCTAAGATTTAACCCATAGTTCCTTTTTCTTTGGAAGAGCTTGCCCATGTCAGGGGAGAACTCTCCAATGTACCTGGAGGTCCCCTTTCTGCTTATGCTCAGCCCAGGGCCGGTGAGGCAAGGAAAGAAAATAGCTCAGTCATAAACTCATCCCAGCTGAGCCTCTTATGGAAATGCTGACAGACCCTTCAAGACTAGACGCCAGCTCCAGCAGTGGCGCCTTTCTAAAGCCCCGGCTGGGAGCTAAATATAGTGGCAGGAGGGATGGGGTGTGGACTTGGGGGATGGATGGGGAGGGGAGGGAAGAACTCTGGAGGAGAACAGGAGAGGGGAAGAGAGGAGGGGAAAAGAAAGAGAAATAAAGAAGGAGAGGGCAGGGAAGAAATTGAAGAAATGGGGAGAAAACAAGAAGAGGCTCAGAAAAGTTTTAGGGAAAGGGAGATGAAGAAGAAGGTGAGATGGAGAGCAAGCAGATGTGGCTGGACATGGGAGTGCGGCTCAGTGTTCGGGTTCCGGTTCCGTGTGGTGCAGAGAGCTAGCTGGTGGGGGCAGCCTAGAGGGGGAACAGTAGTAGTCCCAGGCTAGGCCCCTGTCTGGCTGGCCTGCAGAAAGCCCTCGGTAATTGTTTATCTGCCACAGCACTATTGGAACCAAGAGACAGCCCAATTCTCCAGACTCCAGACTCTGTTCTGCCTCCCCACATCTTCATCTGGGTGCAGGCCTGCCTCTAGCTGTCCCCAAGACAGTCCATAATGCGGCCTAGGGTCCTTCCAGTTAGCCTGGGGCCTCTGGTGGGGGTGAGGTGGATCTTTGTGTAATGGAGGCAGGGCTGTGGGGGCGGGGTGGCCTGCCTTTCAGTGAGGGTGGGAGTGTGGTACTGCATAGTGAGAGTGCAGCCTCAGACGTGCTTGAAAGAAACCTGCTTCCTCAGGCTGAGGGGGCAATGGGCAGGTTAGAGCACTGAGGTGGAAACAGGTCAGGAAGTGAGACCCAGCTGAACTGAATCAGACTCCTAGTGTCAGAGGTATTTGAACCAGAGTGACTCCATTTTGACTAGGAGCTGGGTAAAATAAGGCTGAGACCTACTGGGCTACATTCCCAGATAGTTAGGCATTCTACGTCACAGGATGAGATAGGAGATTGGCACAAGATACAGGTCACAAAGACCTTGCTGATAAAACAGTTTGCAGTAAATAAGCTGGCTAAAACCCACCAAAACAAGATGGTGAAGAGAGTGACCTCTGGTCATCCTCACTGCTACACTCTCACCAGTCCCATGACAGTTTACAAATGAAATAGTCATAAAAATGGGCAACTAGCAGCCCTCGGGGCTGCTCAGCCTATAAAGTAGCCATTCTTTATTCCTTTACTTTTTTTTTTTTTAAGTGAAAGCAAGTTTATTAAGAAAGCAAAGGAATGGCTACTCCATAGGCAGAACAGCCCCTTTACTTTCGTAATAAATTTGCTTTCACTTTACTGTATGTATTTGCCTCGGATTCTTTCTTGTGTGAGATCTAAGAACCCTCTCTTGGGATCTGGATCCAGAGCTGGTTGGACTGGGAGCTGGTTGGACTGATGGGACATGGGGGAGCCCTGGAAAGAGGGGAGGAGGTGGTGAAGCCCCAGCGTCAGGGAGGAGAAGCAGGAACTGGGGAACTGTCCTAGAGATATATGGGAAATTCGGTACATTTTGGTTAAAAATCTAAAATTATGCCACCATCATATGAAACTAAGTTTGCTTTCACAGCAACTACTTTTTTTTTGTTTGTTTTTGAGACAGAATCTCGCTCTGTTGCCCAGGCTGGAGTGCAGTGGCATGATCTCAGCTCACTGCAACCTCCGCCTCCTGGGTTCAAGCAAGTCTCCTGCCTCAGCCTCCAAAGTAGCTGGGATTACAGGCGCCCGCCACCACGCCCGGCTGATTTTTGTGTTTTTAGTGGAGATGGGTTTTGCCATGTTGGCCAGGCTGGTCTTGAACTCTTGGCCTCAAGAGATCTGCCTGCCTTGGCCTCCCAAAGTCCTGGGATTACAGGCGTGAGCCACCATGGCTGGCCCACAGCAACTACTTTCGAGGCATAGCTCTGGCCCTTTTGAGATATGAGGCGAAGCTCTGATCAGCCCCACTGACTGTGTGGGGTGGGAGGGTCTAGGGGAAGGAGAAAGGGCTGGGTGTGCTTTGCTGTGTAAGTCAGCAGTACTTAGTAGCTGCTCAGTAAACATTTGTGGGTGGTGATGTGGGCAGGTGTGTTGAGAGCCTGGAGAGCAAGAAACTGAACTCACCTCTTCCTTATCCCATTCCCCCTTTCTCCTAGGCTCTGGGAGGGAGAAGTGGACAAGGAAAGAGAGAAAAAGGAAGACCCAGTGAGAGAACAGGAGATAAATGAGTCTTGTCACCCTTCTGCCAGGCTCCACAAGAGCGGAACAGCTCCTGTGCCCTATGGGAAGATCAGCCATTATTTATGAGCTTGTCTGGAGGGGGCTATGCTGGAATATCTAGCTTTGCTCCCTCTCCCCTCAGCTGGGGAGGGGGTGTTGGGAGGAGCTTGTGTTGTCTGAAGGCTTGTGCCTTCTTAAAGGCACAGAGGCCCTTGTGGGAGCCTGGGGCGTCCAGCCACCCTGAAGCCTGCGCAGCTTCCCAAGTAAAGGAAAGAGAGGAAACTCAGACCTACTGCAGAGCCAACTCCATGATGGGGAAAGATCCTGAGACACTGGCTTGAAGGCAGGAAGGAACTTGGGGTTTCTGTGTACCTGAAGTCCTCAGAGACTGTCTCAGAGCTTCAGAACCCCTCCTGGTGCTGGCCCCACACAGCCAGCAGGGGACATACCAAGAATTAAAGGCTGGGAATATGGGGAATGGGTGGAGGCCTGAGAGAAAGGAGAATGGAAATAAAAAATGTCTATATCCCAGGTTTGGGTTCCTATGGCTGGTCCAGCCTCATTTATGGTTGGAGAGGCAATAGCTGAGGGTCCAAGACCCAAAACAAGGAGCCCAGGCAGAAAAGGGGGAGAAGGAGGGGCTGAGAGAGGTTTAGAAGGGAGCAGCAGTTAGAAGAGTTGGATGGGAAAGGAAGGGAGAAGCTAGAATAAAGCGATGGCTAAACAGTGGACATTGAAGACAGAGGAGGGGGTTCCAGGGATAAAAAGCAAGGCCAAGCAAAGCTAAAGGTGAGGTTGGAGAGCAAGAGGGACAAGATGGTGACAGAGACAGGAAGTGGGGGCCACAGAGCTCCTACAAGGCAGGAAAAGAGAGACGAAGGGAGCAACGGGCCAACAAAATCTCACAGGCTGGTGAGAAGAGGGGAACGGAGAAGGAACTCAGGCCTGGAATCTGGCAGGGGAGGGAAGAGTGGAGGTGAGAGGGCCAGAGAGGGAGGGCATTCATGCCAGCAAAGGAGAGACTGCTGCTTTTTTTCTTCTTTTTCGTTTCAACCGCTATCAATAATACATTCCCAAGGAGCCGCCTTTGACAGCAATTAAAAAAGCATTTATGCTCCCAAAGAGAAATTGAAATGATTTCCTCCCACTTCTCTACGCTCTCTGGGCAACGGTCCCTAGCGATGATCTCCCTGCTGGTGTGCAGTCCAAACCGGGGACACACGAAGGAGGGGGATGGAGAGGGGCCAGGGAAGATTCTCCACCCACCTCCCCAGAGGGAGAATATCTGAATGTTTTATACCAGCTCTGTGTGTGGGGGTGGCTGTGGGGACATGGGTGGATGCAGAAGCTGGGGATTTCAAATATGGCATGAAAACACTTTACTGATGATCCCATCTCAGTGCGGATGAAAGGGAGGCTGGCCGCCTCTTCAGCCTGCTGGCTGGAGGTGACCCTTGTGTCTTTGCTAAAGCACCAAGAATCTAGGAGGCTGAGCTGTGAGGGACACTTTCCAGAGCTGCTTTCAATTCAGCAGACCTTTACCAAGCAACTGCTGTGTGCCAGGACCTGCGATAGGTGGTGAGGGTGTTCCCGAAATGAGTGAGACAGGCTGTCTGTTTTCCAGAAGCTTATTATCTGGTGGGTAAGGGATGCACGCACAAAGAACTAGATTGCCAGGCAGATGGCATAAGGAGCCATTAGGAGTGCAATAAAGCAATAGAGGAGGGGGAAGGAAGGAAAGAGGGACAGGCCAGTGGGAGACCTCCTCCCCAGGATTGGGGAACAAGGAAAATGATCATTTCTCTATCGTTTAGTAACCCTCTAAGCCAGGCTTCATGCTGGGCACTTTATATATATATATTACCCCTTTGACTTGAACCCTGGCAGCTACTTTCCAAGAAGGCAAGCACTTTCACAGACTAGGAACCAAGGCATAGAGAGGCTACCTTGCTTGAGATCGCACAGCTGGGAAGTGACAGACAGGATAAAAGGCACCAGTCTATTCTTCCCCCATTTGATTCTGCCTCACTTTGGGAGTGTTTAATTCCAGAGCCTATTTACTCAGCAGTTTCATGTCTAGAAATTTATCCTACAGATGGCCTTGCACATGTGCAAAATGACACTATACACAAAGTTTCTCACTGTCACATTCTTTTTAATAGCAAAAGATTGGAAACAACCTAAACATCCATCATAGAAGCCTGGTTAAATGGATTTGTCAACAATGGAATACTCTGCAGTCATCAAGAGAAATGAAAGACACTTTATGTCTGGATATGGGATAATCCCCAGAACTCATTGTTTAGTACAAAATTCAAGCACAGAGTGATGTGTATAATATCTTGTCATCTGTGTAGAAAGAGTGAGGGAAGGAATATTTATGCAGAATTACTTGTTTTGCATAATGTATATATGGAAGGACATTCAGGAGATAGTAACATCAGTTGCTTTATTTTTTTATTTTTTTTTGAGACGGAGTTTCGCTCTTGTTGCCCAGGCTGGAGTGCAATGGCACGAACTGGGCTCACCGCAACCTCCGCCTCCCGGGTTCAAGCGATTATCCTGCCTCAGCCTCCCGAGTAGCTGGAATTACAGGCATGTACAACCATGCCCAGCTAATTATTTTTTTGTATTTTTAGTAGAGACGGGGTTTCTCCATGTTGGTCAGGCTGATCTCGAACTCCCGACCTCAGATGATCCACCCACCTTGGCCTCCCAAAGTGCTAGGATTATAGGCGTGAGCCACCGTGCCCGGCAACATCAGTTGCTTCTGGGAAGGGTGAGTATATGCTTGGGAATCAAGACTGGAAGGAAGGCCGGGCGCAGTGGCTCATGTCTATAATCCCAGCACTTTGGGAGGCCAAGGTGGGCAGATCACCTGACGTCAGGAGTTCGAGACCAGCCTGGCCAACATGGTGAAACCCCGTCTCTACTAAAAATAGAAAAATTAGCCGGGCATGGTGGCACACGCCTGTAATCCCAGCTACTCGGGAGGCTGAGGCAGGATAATCGCTTGAACCCAGGAGGCGGAGGTTGCGGTGAGCCCAGATCGTGCCATTGCACTCCAGCCTGGGTGACAGAGCGAGACTCTGTCTCAAAAAAAAAAAAAAAAAAAGGAGACTGGAAGTCCTTCCTTCCTTCCTTCCTCTCTCTCTCTCTCTTTCTTTCTTTCATCTCACTTTGTCGCCCAGGTTGGAGTGCAGGGAAGCGATCTCAGCTCACTGCAACCTCTGCCTCCTGGGTTCAAGCAATTCTCCTGCCTCAGCTTCCTGAGTAGCTGGGACTACAGGCCTGCACCACCACGCCTGGTTAATTTTTGTATTTTTAGTAGAGACAGGGTTTCGCTATGTTGGCCAGGCTAGTCTTGAACTCCTGACCTCAAGTTGGCCTTGCTGCTGCCTTGGCAATCCTGCTGCCTTGGCCTTGCAAAATGCTAGGATTACAGGCATAAGCCAAGACTTTTAATAAGATAATTTTTGGTAACTTATAAATTATTTGAACATATGACTTATTAAAAACAAAGAATAACAATTAAAAATAGGCTGGTGTAGTGGCTCACGTCTGTAATCTCAGCACTTTGGGAGGCCAAGGTGGGAGCATCACTTGAGGCCAGAAGTTTGAGACCAGCTTGGGCAACATAATGAGACCCCATCTCTACAAAAAATTATAAAAAGTAGCCAGATGTGGTGGTGTGTGCCTGTAGTCCCAGCTACTTGGGAGAGTCACTTGAGCCTGGGAGTTTGAGGCTGCAGTGAGCTACTACACTCCACCCTGGGCGACAGAGCAAGACCCTGTTTCTATTGAAAAAGAAAAAAAAAAGTAACAGCCTGGGCAACATGGCAAAACCCTGTCTCTACCAAAAATACAAACAATTAGCCAGGCATGGTGGCTTGCATCTGTGGTCCTAGGAGGCTGAAATGGGAGGATCACTTGAGCATGGGAGGCAGAGGCTGCAGTGAGCTGAGATCGTGCCACTGCACTCCAGCTTCGGTGACAGAGTAAGACCCCATCTAAAACAAAAACAAAGCCAAACAAAATGTAAATTTCCTGGCCTAGTCAAGATGCAGTCTGTTTTGTTTTGTTTTTAATTTAATTCACAAGAAGGAATGCAGTCCTAATGAGTAGGAAGGCTTACAGGGAGCAGCATAGTGGAGAGGTTGTAGAGATTAGCTTTAGAAAGACCTGGGTTTGGGATCTGGCTCAGTGGCTCACGCCTGTAATTCCAGCACTTTGGGAGGCCGAGGTGGGTGGATCACCTGAGGTTGGGAGTTCAAGACCAGCCTGACCAACATGGAAAAACCCTGTCTCTACGAAAAATGCAAAATTAGCCGAGCGTGGTGGTGTGTGCCTGTAATCCCAGCTATTCGGGAGGCTGAGGCAGGAGAATCAATTGAATTCAGGAGGTAGAGGTTGCAGTGAGCCTAGATCACTCCATTGCACTCCAGCCTGGGCAGCAAGAGCGAAACTCTGTCTCAAAACACACACACACACACACACACACACACACACACACACACACAAGAAAGACCTGGGTACACTGCCACTCACTAGCTACAAGTCTTCAGACAAGTTACTTAACCTTGTTGTGTCCCATTGGCTCCTTTTTTTTTTTTTTGAGTCGGAGTCTTGCCTTGTCACCCATAGCACAATCTTGGCTCATTGCAGCGTCTGCCTCTCGGGTTCAAGCATTCTCCTGCCTCAGCCTCCTGAGTAGCTGGGATCACAGGCACGTGCCACCCCACCACACCCAGCTAATTTTTATATTTTTAGTAGAAACAGGGTTTTACCATGTTAGCCAGGCTTGTCTCGAACTCCTGACTTCAGGTGATCCACCCGCCTCGGCCTCCCGAAGTGCTGAGATTACAGGCATGAGCCATCGTGCCTGGCCCCCACTGGCTCATTTGTAAACAAGGATACACTTTCCTCATGAATTCTTTTAGTGAGGAAGTTATATGATGATGTAGGTGTGTGCTTAGCAGAGGGGCTCTGTGCTAAGTCCTCAGAATGTGGCAGCTGTAACCACCTGGTCCCTGGAAAAACCCAAGGGAAGGAAAGCCTGAGTGTTGCTCATGTCTGACTAAGCTTAGGGAGGCCTTGCTGATTCTTGAAGGCCTCAGGGCCTCCCAGAGTGTATCTGTGCTGCTTGACCGTCTATGACGTTGTCCTAGTTACTGGTGGATGGAAGGAAGTGTGGAGATCACCAGGCAAAGATCACTGGCTCACTAGTGGCAACCCTCTTGCCTGACAGAGTTGGCCTCTATTAGGAACTGCTATGCCCCACCTGGTGGCAAGAAACCCCAAGGGCAGCCGCGGCCCTGCACAGACCTAAAGACCTTCTCAGTCTTCTCCTTTCTTGCATCCAGCTTTGAATCATCTTCAAAGACCTTTGTATCCAGCCCAAAGGCGGAGATACCTTTCCTGTGATGGTTTGTGAGAGCTATGTCAGAGGGTGAGAGGGGCTGAGCGGTGTCGGGGCAGTGTGGTAGACTAGAGTCAGAAGACCTGCGTCCACACTGGGAGCTCCAGATCAATTGCTCCATCTGTAAGCCTCAGTTTCCTCACCTGTATAATAGAGATCCACCTGTGAAGATCAAATATCTGGTAAAACTGTGAGTGTGGAAGCAGGAAAGCTGCAGAAATCTTGCCTTTGTCATTCTGGGTGGTTTTTACAAACATTGTGGAGACTGATAAATGAGTACAGAAGCCCTCAAACCAGTCTCCTGAAACCCAAACAAGATCAGCCAGGGGCTTCATAGCGGCGTGATGCCAGCATGGTGGGTGCTTCTGCTGCTTGGGGGGCCTAGGGGTGGGCAGGTGAGCAGTGTGTGGGAAAAGGAGATTGAGTGGTCAGCTGCAGTGATTTTTCTGGGAGTTTTCTCCACTCACTCAACAATCAAGAATGGGTATGCCTTTATTGGCTCCAAGAAAAGATAAGACATGAGCAGCCCCATTCTTGAGAAACCTTCAGAGGTCATTTGGTCCTTTAGCACTTACGGAGCCACTTGTGAAAAGGGCTGCGAGAGACGCCCAAGATGGATCAGCCATGGTCCCTGCTATCCAGAAGCTTGTAGAGGAAGGAAAGCTACTTCACAGCACACAGGCTGAAATTTCATAAGAGGAAATGACCATTGTGCCAGTTGATCATGTGAGAATGGACGGAATGTAGGGGGATAAGTAGTAAGAGCCAGGGAGGCTTAACCAAGAGAGACTTCCTGAGGAAGACGGAACCTGGACCAGAAGCAAGAGGCCACTCTGAGAAGAGGAGGGGTGACCCAGGTAGAATGCTGGAGAGCAGGGTCTCCAGGAACATGATGTATAAACATCTGGAGAGGAGGGGGCTGCTGGTGGGTGGCCTGGAGCCCTGGAATGCAAATAGACTGCTCTCCAAAGTCCCCACCAGCCAGACAGCTGTGGTGCTGCCTTGTACCCTGGGAGTGAATAAGTTGCTTCTTATTCTCCTCCCAGCCCCCAACTTCCCTGCCCCCCACCCCATCCCCCAGCCTTACTTAGGGATTTCACCTGGTCAATCACCAGAGTCAACAGGCAAGAGCTATGAACCTCAGGCAGGAATGGGAGGAGCTGTCAGAATGAGATGTGAGGCCCCAGGCATGAGGGCTGGAGTCTCAGGGTCTGGCCAGCTCCCGGCTCCTGTAAGCCTCAGCCCAGCCAGAGACGCCAGGCACCTGGGCCCGGCACGGCTCCTCACTTGCTTTGTGTCTGAGTTGAAACCCGCCCACGCTGGGGATGGCAACTCTCTGCCTCTGTCTGCTGGGCCTCCCTGTGGAAGCTAGGCCTGGTGGCTTCACATAAATATTGATTGTCTACTCAGCCATCCCGGCAGGGAGAGAGAGGCCAGGCAGGAGGGGGAGCCCGATCAGGCAGCACTGGATGAATGGAGTCCTGATGTGAGGGAGCTGGGGGGATGCCAGAGGCTAACAGAGGAGAGGCAGGAATCCTAGGGTAGAGAATTCCCCAAGAGGGATAAATGCCAAGTTCAGAATAGCGGTCACCTGGGGAGGAAGAGGAGCATAAGCAGGACCTTCGGGGGTGGCAGCAGTGGTTTACTTAAGCAGGGCTTCACACTCATTAATGCTATTCTTTGTATCTCTTTGTATGTCTGAATCGTTTATAATACATTTGTACCTAGTGACCTGTAGAGGTCCTGTCTTCCTTCCCCCAGCCTCTAGGCAAGACTTCAGTAATCTACCGGACAAGGTGCTGCTCTGGTCTAACTCTGAAATTTTAAAGAGAGATTCCCAAGATGCCAACACAACCCAGGCCCCATCCTGCTTCCAGCCCTTCCTCCAGCTTTGTCAGGGAGAAGGCATTCTTTCCCTTGTTCAGCTAACAAGTCCTGACTGTGTCAGGAGGGAGACCACTGGCTTTGGGGTCTGGACAATGGCCCTGATGTCCTGCTCAGTGTTCTATGCTCTGGTTGGATAGTTCCTGCTCCTTCCACCCTCCTCACAGACCCCACTGTCTGAGCCATCAGTCAGGGAAGAGATGTCTGTTGCCTTTTGGGGGAAATCAGGCCTTCGGGAGAGAAGCAGGCTCCAGAGAACCTTTCCACTATCCTCTTTTCCTTGCTCATTCCTCTCTTCCCAAAACAAATGCCCTTATGAAGGACTTAGGACTTAGACCAGACTAAGAATTTCCGTAAGAAAATGTCTCTCTCTCTTTCCCCACACCATCACCCCCATCCCCTCCGCCCCCCAATTCCTCTCTCTGCTTTTGAACTCCTGGCCTCAAGCGATCCTCCTCCTCCCGCTTCGGCCTCCCAAAGCACTAGGATTATGGATGTGAGCCACCACGCCCAGCCTCCTTTATTTTTCTTGTCAGTTTTTATCTTTCTTCCCTTTCCGTTTCTCTTCCTTTGTTATGACTCTTTTTCCCAAGCCCACTTTCTTTCTGTCATCTTCCTCCCCCTTCTTCCCTCTGTTCCTCTGCCTCTGGCTCCTGCCTTCCAGGGCCTCCCCTGCACTCTCACCTGGCTGGCTCTGTCCCACACTCTCCCTGGCATAGGAGACTCTTCTAGGGAATTCAAGGAAATAAGCAGGAGGCATATTCTGCCTTTGAAACCAGATGAGGGGCTGCTCTCTACTCAAGCCATGCTAATCATTAGACAGTCATTTCTGGGAAGGGCTCTCAGCTCTGGAACCCAAATGGCTCCAGCTCTATGTCATTGCTCCTATTTCTTAAGGCCACTGGTCTCCATCAGGATCCTCTGCAAACCAACAGCCTTGAAACCTTAACAATTATGTCATGTGAGGGCACTCCTTTTGTTGAGTCCACCCTGAGGGCAGAATTCTACCAGACCCTGAAGGGAGGGGATGCTGTTTGGAGGATCAACAAGCCTTTATCTAGTAGGGGAGATGGCACGCTCATGAGTCAGACCTGACACAGCTCAGACAACAAGCAATAAACAGAAAGCAATTTTCTTACTGAGTGCCGAGAAGCCAGATCATTTAGAACAAAACAGATTTAATTAGAGAAGACTTCTTGAAGGGAGTGAATATGGGGCAGGGACTGAAAAGAGAGGTGCTGGTTAGCCAGGCATGGTGGCATGCACCTCTAGTCCGAGCTACATGGGAGGCTGAGGTGGGAGGATTTCTTGAGCCCAGGAGGTTGAGGCTGCAGTGAGCTGTGATCTCACCACTGCACTCCAGCCTGGGCAACAGAGCAAGATCCTGTCTCTTTTTTTTTTGAGACGGAGTCTCGCTCTGTCACCCAGGCTGGAGTATAGTGGGGCGATAGTGGCTCACTGCAACCTCTGCCTCCCAGGTTCAAGCAATTCTCCTGCCTCAGCCTCCTGAGTAGCTGGGATTATAGCATGCGCCACCACGCCCAGCTAATATTTTTTGTATATTTTTTTTTAAGTAAAGACGGGGTTTCACCATCTTGGCCAGGCTGGTCTCGAACTCCTGACCTTGTAATCCACCCACTGAGACCTCCCAAAGTGCTGGGATTACAGGTGCAAGCCACCGTGCCCAGCCCTTCCTGTCTCTTAAAAAGAGAAGCGGTGGGGGGCTGGTGTTGGGAGAGTACTGAGACAGAGAAGAGTGATCTGGTTCCTCTTGAAGCGGGGCTAGTGTGAAGGTACCCATGTTGTGCTGTGTTCAGGGACCAAGGACCTAGTTTGACAGGCTAGGGCCAAGAGCCGTCAGAATGAAGTGAGATTGTCTGGGAAGGGACAGGGGGAAGATTTGTCTCCGCAGAGCAGCCCGGCCAAATTCAAGGATGTCAAAATGTCAGTCAGTGGGATGTGTGAGGGCTTGGGCTGCCACATGCCACACCAGCTCTTCCCATTTCCTGGGAAAAATGCAAATGGTGTTAGTTACTCCCCAAGCTCTGGGCCCAGGCTACATTGCTTTCTGGGAGAACTCCACTCTGTGGGAGGGAGAGCAAGGTTGGAAGGTATTGTGTGATTTCATGACTTTATTATATATGTTGGGGATAAGGTAGGGAGGAAACACATATCAGGATCTTAAAGTGCGTCTCTGCTTTTATGAGTGTGTATCTTCGTATCTGAAAAAAGATGGGCTTTTGTGAATCTGCATGAATGAATGTGTTATGTACACAAGCCCCTGAGCCACACCCCTCCTGTTTTTATTAACAGCCTCTTTCTGCCATTTTCAGACTTTCTCTTTCACAGCCTGAGGCCCCATCAGCCCTCCTGCCGAGCAGGGGCTGGGATGTGGGCTGATCCCAAATGCATCTTTCTCCTCAGTAATGCCACAAATTGGCTACAGAGAGCTCCAGGCCCAGAGTGGATCAGGATAAAGTCCTTTCTCCTCTCTGACTAGGCTGGGGACAGCTGGGCCTGCAGGAGAGGATGGAAAAAAGGATGGACAGTTGTTTAGGGATTAATTCACTGATGCTCATGCAGCATGCATTTTTAAAAAGCTTCCTTTGTGCTGGGTGCTGTGGATAGAGTGATGACATAGCAGAGAACTCCTTACATCCAATGATGCCCTTGCTTTCACATGAAATTTTCTTTTTCCAGAGAAACTCAGTAGCTAAAGCTGGAATTGCCAGGTTTGCCCCTTCCCCACTTCCCTGCCATCCTTGTCTTCTCATCCTTCCCTCCCTCCTATTGCAGCAACCTGGGCTGGGGTGGACAGAACAGGATGGACCTTCGGGTCCCTTTAAGCACTTTGGAATGGGAATGAAGGGGTCACATCCTATAGCAAGCTGGCAAACCAACACCTAGCATCCCAGGTCACTGGCTGTGTCTCCTCCTCTGTCTCTCTCAGAAAGGACTTATCTGCTCTGGATGAGAAGATGGCCTGGGCCAAAGTTCTGGCCCATTGCCTTCCTGGTGGTCCTTGGTTCTCTGCAGACAGCAGCCTCGGAAAGCAGCAAATGGGTTGGGTGCAGTGGCTAACACCTATAATCCCAGCACTTTGGGAGGCTGAGGTGGGCGGATCACCTAAGGTCAGGAGTTCAAGACCAGCCTGGCCAAAAAGGTGAAACCCCATCTCTACTAAATATAAAAAAATAGCTGGGCGTGGTGGCAGGCACCTGTAACCCCAGCTACTTAGGACGTTAAGGCAGGAGAATCTTTTGAACCTGGGAGGCAGAGGTTGCAGTGAGCCGAGATGGCACCATTGCACTCCAGCCAGGGGGACAGAGCAAGACTCCACCAAAAAAAAAAAAAAAAAAAAAAAAAAGAAGAAAGAAAGAAGGAAGGAAGGAAGGAAAGAAAGAAGGAAAGAAGGAAAGAAGGAAAGAAGGAAAGAAAGCAAGCAGCATTTGGAGGCCTGAAGCTGTCACCATGAATTTTTCATCTGCTGCTTTGGAGGAGAAGAACTGTGGCCCAGGGGATCAGTATCAGTGGGTTCTTAGCTGTTAAACCCCACAGAGTGGGGAATTGATGGCCCAGGAGCAGTGCTGGCAAGGGGAGCAGGACTGGGTACTTATTTCTGTGACTGTCTCTGCATTTTGTCCTCTGTCACGATTCTGTACATTCTCCATGGAAGAGGAAGTGTTACCATGTTTTTATTTGCCATTTCTGGGTCTTCGTGCTATTATTGTTTCGTTTTGTGAATGTATCCTTCTCTGTACCTGTTCACCCTTTCAGACTGGAACTTTCCTGAGAGAAGGCGTGGTGTCTCCCAAACATGAAGCCTGCTGAGGACCATGTATCCTGTCCTCTCTTCAGGTGTTGTACATGCTTTTGGCTGATTAGGAAACTTGTTTTCTGCCAGAAGTCCCTGGGCCACCAGGAAGGTTAGGAGTGAGCATAGAGCAAAATCATCAGAAGGCTTCTTCCTCCAGAAACTCCAAAGAAACTGGCCAGACATGGTGGCTCATGCCTATAATCTCAGCACTTTAGGAGGCCAAGATGGGCAGATCACTTGAGGCCAGGAGTTCAAGACCAGCCATGGCCAACATGGTAAAACGCTATCTCAACTAAAAATAAAAAAAATTAACCAGGCATTGTGGTGTGCTCCTGTAATCCCAGCTACTCGGGAGGCTGAGGCAGGAGAATTGCTTGAACTCAGGAGATGGAGGTTGCAGTGAGCCGAGATCGCACTGCTGCACTTCAGCCTGGGCAACAAGAGCAAAACTCCATCTCAAAAAAAAAAAAAAAAAGGCCGGGTGCGGTGGCTCACACCTGTAATCCCAACACTTTGGGAGGCCAAGCCGGGCAGATCACCTGAGGGTCTGGTGATCGAGACCAGTCTGACCAACATGGAGAAACCCCATCTCTACTAAAAATACAAAATTAGCCAGGTGTGGTGACGCATGCCTGTAATCCCAGCTACTCAAGAGGCTGAGGCAGGAGAATCGCTTGAACCCTGGAGGCAGAGGTTGTGGTGAACTGAGATCGTGCCATTGCACTCTAGCCTGGCCAAGAAGAACTAAATTCTGTCTCAAGAAAAAAAAAAAAAAAAAAGAAACTCCAAAGAAACCTCTAAAACACTTGATGAGCAAAATCTATATGTCCTCCTAAGGTGTCTGTGTCTGGGAAACCAGAGGACAAAAATCACTATTTTTCTTTATCGGAGTAAGGAGTCTCTGAGAAGTCAATCGTCTTAGCAAGACACACAAATCTGGGAGTAGCAAAGTGAGGATTCAAATGCGCAGCCTTTTTTCTCCAGTCCTCAGCTTGGCCCCCACTCCTATTTGGTGGGCTCTTAGCAAGCCGGAAAAATAGCTCAATGCATCAATAAGAGATACCGAAACAGCTCCGCAAACCCTCACTGGCATCTTTATGAAGTCAGTTTGCTCGCTCCCGCTAATGAATAATTCAGGTTAGCTGTATAGTGAGACAGATCAGACAAGGGGCTCTACATGTGCAGAAGACAGCCGCCGCTCTAACCAAAAGCAGGTTTCCAAATGCTCTCACAGGAGATGTGGAAATTGCATGAAAGGAGAAGTGGGGAGCAATGCTGCGTGGCAGGCGGGGATGCTAGGGAAAGGTCTGCAGGGGTGAGGACAGGCTACAGTGGGGCCTAAGGATGGACAGATCATCTCCTGTTGATACTGAGTCAGATAATGAAGCAAAGCCGCCAGCGAGAGCAGCCACTCATAGGGTCTGATGCATCCCAGGCGGGGAGGCCTGGCGTGGAAAGAGGGATAGGGACCCTCCAAAGCAGAAACGAAAGACCTTGGCTGAGCAGGACCAGAAGGGCGGGTAGGGGAGGGGATGGAAGGGTATTCGATCACACAGCCTTCAGCTCCTAAGAGTGACAGCCCTAAGGTTTCCTAGGAGTCGGGGACCAGAAACGGGAGAAGTAAGTGGGTGCTGAAGAGGATGGAAGAGTGGAAGGGAAGGGACAGAGACAGGCAGGAGACTCCTAAAAGTCTGGAATGTGCAGCAGGGAGGGTGGGGGAGGCTCTGCACCCAGGTCTTCCAGTCATTGAGTCCCCTGAGTGAGCCCGTCCCTGGCAGGGGGTTCCACTCCTCACTTCTTACTGTGTGTTCACCTTCACTCCTGACCCAAATGGGGGCCGGGATGGTGGGTGGCTCCTAAGAATGGAAGAAGATGCATTTCCTGATGACTTCAAAATGTTATCTCCTCTCTCCCACCCTTTCAAGGAAGCAAGCCTCCTTCTGCATCTCCTGGACACCCTCTTTCCCATTCTCCCCCGACTTCAACAACCATTGCCTTTGCTTTGTCTTACTTTCCCTGGGATTGGGGGAAACTGTTGCCTGCACAGAAAATAACTTGGTAAGTGCTCAGACTTCTCCTGGGAGGCTGGCATGTTTTGTGAGCTGGAGCTTATTGTTATATCACATTAGAATTTAAGCTTGCTGTTGTTGGTTATCTTTAACATCAATGGCAATACAAAAAAGCTCCACTCAAATCAATGCCTGTAACTGTAGGTGCTAAGAATCCATGGGGGAGAGATCCATTAGCAGTAAAGTAAGGGCAGATAAGGAGTAGGGAGGAAGACAGCCAGAGCCACGGCCTGAGATCAGATGCCAGGACTCAGGGCAGGCACAGGGAGAGGTCCTCAGCGTCCGGTCTAACACCTGCCAGGTGGGGCCCTCGGAACCACAACCAGAGGAAAGTGAGAATTAGGGAGGCTAGGCGTGGCCACCTTATTCATCCCTAGCTCAGCCACGTTCCTGGCAGAAGAGACACTCCTGTTTCTGAAGGACATCCAATGAAGTGGGATGATCTGAATTAAAAGCCAAATTGGAGCTGGGGATGGTGGCTCACGCCTGTAATCCCAGCACTTTGGGAGGCAGAGGCAGGCAGATCACTTGAGGTCAGGAGTTTTGAGACCAGCCTGGCCAACATGGTGAAACCTGTCTCTACTGAAAATACAAAAATTAGCTGGGTGTGGTGGTGCAACCTGTAGCCCCAGCTACTTGGGAAGCTGAGGCAGGAGAATTGTTTGAACCCAGGAGGTGGAGGTTGCAGTGAGCCGAGATTGTGCCACTGCCCTCCAGCCTGGGAGACAGAGTGAGACTCCGTCTCAAAAAAAAAAGAAAATAAAAAAAGCTAAATTGGGGGTCAGAGAATTTCAAGGGATATTGCCCTCCTTTCCCAACAGAGGATGAGATATGTAGCTGTGTAGCTTTCTGATCTGAAGCCAGAAGGGTAGAGCAAAGCTCCTACAATTTGAATTTTTATGAATCTTATTACTATCAGCGATGTTATAAATGATTGATAAGGCATTTGAATTGGAGGTATTGTCCAGTGGAGACAAGGAAGGAGGGAAGGAGGAAGATTAATATTTATTGAGTACCGACATATATCAGGCTTTCTGCTTGGACTTCTACACACATTATCTAGTGGAGTTGAACCTAAATGAGTTGCAGCCTGGGTTTAACTCCTTGCCTCCCACAGCTTCCTCCTGTTTGCTTTTCCTCCCTCTGGGCCTACGGAACTCAGGTCAGTATTCCCTAGGAATTTTTGTCCTCAGGGGCTGTCTTGGAGCTGCTGGATCAAGGGAACAGGTTTTCAGGATTTTCTGTCCCAAGCCACCAAGTCAGAAAGGAGCAGACAAGAGTCAGCTGGAGACGTGTGGAACAGGCTTGGAGAAGGGAGCAGGGGAACTTGACACTTTACATCATCTTTTTCAATCAGCACAGTGACCCTCTCTCTTGATAGAGCCTCTGAGAAGGTGCTGGGCTGCAGTCACAGCCTGTGCCATTCTCCTCTCCCCTGGACACTGCTTGGCAGGCTGAGGTCCTGAGCCCTGGTCCTGGCTTAGCCGCTGCTCACTCACTTTTATCCAAAAATTCAGGAGCTGTTTCTCAGGCCTCAGCCAATTCCAACCTTCCATGATGAGCTGTAGAGTGTAAGCTCCATCAGAGCAGAGACTTTGCCTGTTTTGGACACAGCTGTGCCTGGAACAGTGCCTGACACATAGTAGGCAGTTGAAAAATATTTATTGAATGAGCCTCCTTATCCTCTCTTCCTTCATGACACATCCTTTCTTAGGAAACCCACATTTCTCTGCTCTTGGACTTGTTCCTGGCAGTAGTCTGGGGAGCCAGATGGAGAAGTGAGGGTTTTGGCTTTTCTCTCCTTCCTTCCTTCTTTCTTTCTTTCTTTCCTTCCTTCCTTCCTTCCTTCCTCCCTCCCTCTCTCCCTCCCTCCCTTTCTCTCTTTCCTTCCTTCCTCTCTCTCTCTCCTTCCTTCCTCCCTCCCTTCCTCCTTCTCTCTCTCCTTCCTTCCTTCCTCCCTCCCTCTCTCCCTCCCTCCCTTTCTCTCTTTCCTTCCTTCCTCTCTCTCTCTCCTTCCTTCCTCCCTCCCTTCCTCCTTCTCTCTCTCCTTCCTTCCTTCCCTCCTTCCCTCCCTCCCTCCCTCCCTCCGTTCCCACCTTCCTCTCTCTCACTCTCTCTTTTTTTTTTTTTTTAAGAGATGAGATCACTTCGATGCCCAGGCTGGAGTGGAGTGCAAATTGTGCGATCCATAGTTTTGAACTCCTGGGCTTCAGCCACTTGAAGTAGCTGGGGATTATAGGCATACACCACCACACCCAGCTGTTTGTTTGTTTGTTTGTTTGTTTTTTGTGGAGATAGGGTCTCACTATGTTGGACAAACTTCTGGGCTCAAATGATCCTCCTGCCTCGGCCTCTCAAATGTTGGGATTACAGGTGTGAACCATGACACCTGGCCCACCTTGGCTTTTCTAGCACATTGTTCTTAGGGTCCTTGCTTCCCAGCAGGCTCAGCAACCTCCTGCAGCAATGCCAGCCTATCCCTTTCCCTGGTGCAGCAGAGGAGGGTTGAGGAGAGGGTTGTTTCCAGCAGACTCCACACATGGTCATCAGAGGCTGGGCGTCTCAGAATGTGAGGTCACAGGAAGTAGGGGGCCTGGGGGGAGAGAGTTATCACACTGCATGAGGTAAAGAGGCAGGGCAGTGAGAGAGAAAGGGACCGAGGAAAGCCTGCCATCTCCAAGAAGGGTTTAAGTTATCACAAACAAATATTTCCACTCAATCCCACAAAATCTTCAGAGGTGGCTAGGCTGGAATATAGTAAACCCCCACTCCTAGAGGCTCAGTCCCCCACTGGGGAGTGACTAGAGTCCCCTCATCCTCCTATCCCAGGTTATGAATTGTGGAGCTCATTGATCCTCTGGGAGTCCGAGATCCTGGGCAGGAAGAGTCCTCCAGGGGCCATGTAGCCGCCTCCACCACAGGCACTCTGGGAGCCTCCTGACCAGCAGGCTGGCCAGGAAGGGTGGTCAGCCTCCCAGGGTCAGCCTTCCTACTTCCCCTGCAAAGGCCCCTGCCACTCCCCTTTCCAGCCAGGGCAGGACTTGAGCAAGCCTAAAAGTTCATTGCACCGTGGAGGAGTGAGCACACTTCTAAACTTCCAGTGGGCATGGGCCCTTCATTATGCAGAGGGAGAACCTGAAGTCTGGGCCATAGGCCTTGGCACAGAACAGCCCTTGGGCCCCAGTGCCAGCACCATGGGCAGAGGACAGACACTGGGCCAGAAGCTCTCCCTTTTGTGACAGCAGGCTGGACTCTCCCCAATAGATCTATAGGATCGGCCCTCCCATAGATGGGAAGAAAACGTGGCTGCCATCCTACATGGACTCCTGGAATTGTTGCCTTAGGAAAAAAAAAAATGCATGTAAATTTTATTGTCTCTTCATGCCACCAATTGTATACCAAAATTCAAGGAACTAATTCTGTGCCCCACAATTTTCCTGTTCCCCCTCTTCCCTAGGGTCTATCACCCAGCTAATCCAGCTCAGAGGAGCTCAGATGGGGAAGCTTTCCCTAGGGGCATGAGAGGGCTGGATGCTCCCTTCACTTTAGCTCTGTCTGGTCTCCAGAGAAGCCCCCCAAGGGGCCGCAAGTTGGGAGCTGCTGTCTGCCTGTTTGGGATATTTGCCTGGGTTCTGGAAGGGCAGTCATATCATTTTCATTAGTGTTGACCCATTGCTGCCTATTACCTTGCTCCTTCTGGGGGTTCCCTCTGTTTCCTCCTTCATGCACCTCCCTTCTCAGTAATTAACAGGGCCTGGAAGAGCATCCCTCCAACAGACGGCCAAAAGGCAGAGCAGGCAGCCGTGACAGTGGCAGTGCCAGCAAAAGGACAGGCGATTAAAACAAAATGATTCATCTTGGGAATGAGTGCAAATCGCTTTCCATTTACAGGAATTGGGGCCGTGTTCCAAACAGCCTTTGTGGGCTCATTGGGGAGACAGGAGTCTGGTCCATTGACCATTAAGTAATGAGCTCCTCTGAGTGCTCCCTGCTGACTCTACAGAGGGGCATCTGGCGGGCAATGTGGGCGGGAGAGCCAGCGAGTGGGCAGGGAGACCTGGGGCTGCTCGGCTTAGTTAGGACACAGGGAAAGTGGAGCAGGGCCCCTGCAGGTGGGGACCCTGGTGATTATGGAGATCCAGAGTGCTCCTGGGCACCTTGTTATTGGAGACCAACAGAAAGGAGTCAGGCTGCCCACCTAACTCTTTGCTCTGCCACCAGGGATTCCAGAGCCCACAAGGTTATTTAAAGAGTATTTGCAGAGTGTGCCAGTCATGGTGCAGGCACTGGGGAGTCAGAGAAGAATAAGACAAGGATCTTGTCCTCAAGGGACTTATAGTCCAGGGTGGGTGATGGGCAGTTCAACAAAGGGGAGCCAAGGATAAGAGCTCTGCGACAGGCTGGGTGCGGTGGCTCACGCCTATATTCCTAGCACATTTGAAGGCTAAGGCAGGAGGATTGCTTGAGCTTGGGAGCTCAAGGCAAGCCTGGGCAAAATAGTGAGAACCTATCTACAAAAAATAATAAGAAAATTAGCTGGATGTGGTGGTAGTGTGTGCCTGTTGTCCAAGCTACTTGGGAGGCTGAGGTGGGAGGAATGCTTGAGTCTGGGAGGTTGAGGCTGCAGTGAGCCAAGATTGCACCACTGCCCTCCAGCCTGGGTGACAGAGCAAGATCCTGTCTCATAACAAAAAAACTAGCTGGGCGTGGTGGTACGTGCCTGTAGTCCCAGCTACTCAGGAGGCTGAGGCACAAGAATTGCTTGAACCTGGGAGGTGGAGGTTGCAGTGAGCCAAGATCACATCACTGCGCTCCAGCCTGAGCAACAGAGCAAGACTCCATCTCAAAAACAGAACAAAACAAAACCCCAAACAAAGCAAAATTCTATGATAGAAACAGATGGAGGCCATAATAGTGGGGATAGGAAGAGTTCAGTCCTACCTGGCAGGGGTGGGGCACCCGAGTGACTCTTGAGCTGGGTCCTAAAGATGACTAAGTATTCTCCAAGTGGGATGGTGGTGGGGCAGCCGAGTGGAATGGGGAATTAATCCAGCTAGAGAGATGAGCCTGAGGAAAGGACAATGAAAGGACCTGTGCCTGGCTGTGTCGGGGAGAGGAAGGCAAGTGGACACAGGCCGAGGCTCATAGGAATGCCTTACTAAAGAGCTTGGACTGAGCCTAGAGGCTATGGGAGCCACTGAAAAGGTTAAAGCAGGGGTGTGATGAGGTCAGGCTGTATTTTTAAGCAACTTCTGGCCATCCTGGGGCTTTTCAATCATATCTCATCCAGGCAAGCCCACTATAGTCCAAAAAAGAATCTAAAACAGGTATCACAGACTGTTAACATTTGTTTTAAAAGAGTAGTTGCAGGCCAGGTGTGGTGGCTCATGCCTGTAATCCCAGCACTTTGGGAGGCCGAGGCAGGTGGATCACGAGGTCAGGAGTTCAAGACCAGCCTGGCCAAGATGGTGAAACCCTGTCTCTACACAAATACAAAATACAAAAACAAAACAAAACAAAACAAAAATAGCTGGGCCAGGCACAGTGGCTCATGCCTGTAATCCCAGCACTTTGGGAGGCCAAGGTGGGCAGATCATCTGAGGTCAGGAGTTCGAGACCAGCCTGACCAACATTGTGAAGCCTCATGTCTACTAAAAACTCAAAATTAGCTGGGCATGGTGGTGCACCCTTGTAATCCCAGCTACTCAGGAGGTTGAGGCAGAAGAATCGCTTGAAGCCGGGAGGCAGAGGTTGCAGTGAGCTGAGATCGAGCCATTGCATTCCAGCCTGGGCAATAAGAGCAAAACTCCATCTCAAAACAAAAACAAAAACAAAAACAAATGCCAGGTGTGGTGGTGGGTGCCTATAATCCCAGCTACTCAGGAGGCTGAGGCAGAGAATTGCTTGAACCCAAGAGGCGGAGGTTGCAGTGAGCCGAGATAGCACCACTGCACTCCATCCTGGTGACAGAGCAAGACTCCATCTCAAAATGAAATAAAATGAAATACAATAAAATAAAAGTAGCTACATGGGTGTCCGTTATTTTATTTTCTGTACTTTTAAAAAGGTTTTAAATTTCAGAATTAATAATGAATGAGTATCCATATGATAGAATACTGTGCAGTGTTGAAGAATGAAGGTGAAAACATGTATTCTGTCATGACAAAATGCCTGTGGTATATTTTAAATAGCAAAATAGAATATATAGTATGATTGTATTTTTGTAAGAACAACAAATAAAGTGAATGTGGCAGGAAATGTACCAAACTATTAACAATGACAAAGTTACTATTGCAGGGTGGGATTCAGATACTGATGAGGGAAAGGGGAATTTTCATTTTCTAGTCTATGCCTTTTAGAATTGTATACATCTTAAAAATGACCTTGCATTATTCATTATTTTAAAACAAAAACCCACTTTTGGGGGGATAACTGTTTTTTCTTTTCTTTTTCCTTTTTTTTTTTTTTTTTTGAAACGGAGCCTCGCTCTGTCACCCAGGCTGGAGTGCAGCGGCGTGATCTTGGCTCACTGCAACCTCCACCACCTCCAGGGTTCAAGTGATTCTCCTGCCTCAGCCTCCCAAGTAGCTGGGACTACAGGTGTGAGCCACCACGCTTGGCTAATTTTTGTATTTTTAGTAGAGATGGGGTTTCACCATGCTGGTCAGGCTGGTCTCCAAACTCCTGACCTCAAGTGATCTGCCCACCTCGGCCTCCCAAAGTGCTGGGGTTACAGGCATGTGCCACCTGGCCCTAGGGGGTAACTATTTATTTTCATGCAATTTCAAACCCAAAGACAAGTTGCAAGAGGCCGGGCATATTTAATTAGCCAGTTGTGGTGGCATGTGCCTGTATGTAGTCTTAGCTACTTGGGAGGCTGAGGTAGAAAGATTGCTTGAGCCTAGGAGTTGGAGGCTGCAGTGAGCTATGATCGCACCACTGCACTCCAGCCTGGACAGCAGAGTGAGACCCTGCATCCAAAAAAAAAAAAAAAAAAAAAAAGGAACTCCCATACACTATTTAGACTTCACCACTTGCTAATATCTTGCCCTACACCACACAACATACATTTTTAAAAAGATCATCCATTACTTCCATTTTTGCAAACCCCAGTGGCCACTTGCAGTTTATCTTTTTGGGCCTCTCCGCTGCTTCTGACCCTGTTGTCCTCTCCTTCCTTCCTGAAACCTCCCATTTCTTGTCTTCTGTGGCCCTGAGTCTTCGCTGGTTTTCCTTCTACTTCTCTGACTCTCTGACTTCCCTCTAGCATTGTCTTTCTTAGAGGCCGCTTTTTCAGCACCCCTTAAACATGGGAGTTTCTCAAAGTTCAAGCCTGAGCCCACTGCTTGGCTTTGTGTGTTTTCTTCCTGGGAGAGCTGGTTCACTTCCATCCACTGAAGCTATGATCCATTTGCTGATGAAGCCCAAATCCGTGTCTTCAGCTGCCACCTCTCCCTTCAGTTTCCTATGCTCATATTCAAATGCCTGTTAGACACATGCTCTTAAGTAGTCCACAAACATTCTATACTCAACTTGTCTCAAACATATCATCATCACCCCTCCCTCCTGCTAACTATTCTCTTTCTGTGTCCTCCATCTCAGATAATGGCACCACATCTTTCACTTTGACAATGGCAATCAACTCCTAATTGGTCTCCCTGACTACAGTCTTCCTCTACGTAAATTCACTCTCACACTATAGTCAACGTGACACCCCTAAAATGCAAATTTCACCACATCAGGCACTGAGAAAACCTGTCAATGAGTCTCCATTACCTGCAGGTTGAAGTCAAGCCCGTTAGTCTGGCACACGTGGCTGTACCTGGTTCCACCTGGCTTCTCCGGCTCTTGTCATGTCCCCATCACCTCTGCATCCCATTCCACATTGGCCTGTGTGTCCATGTGTTTGCTCATGCTGCCTCCTTAGCAGGAGCCCCCTCCCACCTCTCTCCCCTTGACTGACCCATCCATCAACACTGAGCTCAACGGGCGTCTCCTCCAGCTGGAAGTGTCCCTTTATTGTGTTCCCATTGCATTCTTCTTCTTCTCTTACTTCTATCTAACAATTTTTTTAAATAATGCTTTTGTGCCATGAAAGGTGACCAGGGCATGCTTTTATTTTTATTTATTTATTGAGACAAGGTTTTGCTTTGTTGTCAAGGCTGGAGTGCAATGGCGCAATCATGGCTCACTGTAGCCTCGATATTTCCAGGCTCAAGTGGGCCTTCTGGTGTGCACCACTATGCCTGGCTAATACTTTTATTTTTGTTGAGATGGGGGTCTCACTACATTGCCTAGGCTGGTCTTGAACTCCTAGCCTCAAACTATCTTCCAGTCTTAGCTTCCCAAAGTGCTGGGATTACAGGCGCGAGCCACTGCTCTCTGCCGAACAAATTTTCATAGTCTCAGGCTTTGTCTGTGTCTCTCTCACTGCTCTGTAAATCCCGGAATGAACGGGGTTTGCATGTGCTTATGTATACCATCTTGTACCTTTGTATCCTTAGTGCCTTAGTGCAGTGCCTAGCATGTAGTAGACATGTAATAAATGTTTGATTAACTGAGGTAGGCATTCACTATTTATTCACCCCTCTCTGCCTCTTTTCCCTGGCAGCAGCAAGCTCAATCCCATGCCCTCTGTTTCCCCATCAGTAGTTACATTCCAGGCCTCAGCTCCTTGGTTGCAGACCCCTGTCCAACGGGTTTGGCTCCTATGTGGTCTTTCTCCTGGCACTTCTCTCCCTCATCTTCTCTTCTGCTTCTTCCCTTCTATTTTGATCAGCTCTTGCTACCCTCCTGTATCTTTCCAGATGCTTCTCTCCCACTCTTCTCCCCTGTGGGGGCCACTCAGGGCAGATCCAGCCCACTCCTGGCCCAGGTGTCTGCATCAGGACTTTATATAATTACCTTCACAATGGGGCCTAATGACTGGAAAGCGTTTTCATCTCAACCCACACAATTCCAGATTTACAGCCACCAAGGCCTCCGGGTTACAGCTGGATGCATACCCCACCAGGTCCCTCTCTAGAGTATCTTTTGGAAGATGTACCTTACAGCTCTTTAAGAAAGAGGATCACTTGCTAACAGCTTTTCTGTCTAGTACTTTTAAACATAAGCACTTAGCTTCGTTCCTTAGTTCTCTGCGCCCCAACTCTGTAGTGAGGATCGCATTCATCATACTCCACCAGGCACGTAAGATGCTCTAAGCTGATCTTCTTTCATGTGAGGACCCTCAGGGATGAACATATTCATTCTGTCATTCGCTCACACATTTACTGAGCTCCCACTACCACTGCCCATGGGGATGGGGACAGAGGATACCGACAAGGGGTCACAGATGAGTATGTCCCCCTCTAAGACCCAAAGGAACTCACGGTCTGGTGAGGAAGACAAATCTGAAAACCACTTTGCTAAAATAAGAAGGCCTTGGTGGAGGTAAATATCAGGTACTATGAAAACATAGAGGGGTCACTGAAGCGTGCTTAGGTAGGAGGAAGGTTTTTGTTTTTTTTTTTGTTTTTTTGTGTTTGTTTGTTTGTTTGCTTGTTTTTTGGTTTTTTAGAAGGAATTTTTCCTCTTCTCTCTCTCTCTCTCTCTCTTTTTTTTTTTTTTTTTGAGACAGAATTTCGCTCTTGTTGCCCAGGCTGGAGTGCGATGGCGCTATCTCCGCTCACCGCAACCTCTGCCTCCTAGGTTCAAGCAATTCTCCTGCCTCGGCCTCCCAAGTAGCTGGGATTACAGGCATGCGCCACCATGCCTGGCTAATTTTGTATTTTTAGTAGAGACAGGGTTTCTCCATGTTGGTCAGGCTGGTCTCGAACTCCTGACCTCAGGTGATCCCCCCACCTCAGCCTCCCAAAGTGCTGGGATTACACGCATGAGCCACCGCGCCCAGCCCGGAATTTTTCCCTTGTTGTCCAGGCTGGAGTACAATGGCACGATCTCGACTCACTGCAACCTCCACCTCCCGGGTTCAAGTGATTCTCCTGCCTCAGCCTCCCAAGTAGCTGGGATTACAGGTGTGTACCTCCACGCCTGGCTAATTTTGTGTTTTTAGTAGAGACGGGGTTTCACCATGTTGGTCAGGCTGGTCTTGAACTCCTGACCTCAGGTGATCCACCTGCCTTGGCCTCCCAAAGTGCTGGGATTACAGGCGTGAGCCACTGTGCCCAGCCTGGAGGGAGGTTTTACAGGAGTTCATTCGAGGAGTGAATAGGAATTGATGAGGCAGACAGGGACAGTGGAGTTGACACTTGTCATGTTTTTGATTGTCCAGTACTGAGCAACTTTCCTATTTTGGAGGGAATTCCTCATTATAGGAGTCTTAGTTGGGGAAGCATTCTACCTTTGACCACATGCTGATGAGGGCAGGGTTTGTGTCTCCCTGCTCCCCCCGAACCCCCGCCACAAATGTGGCATGGGCAGAGTGAGGGTGGGGTGAGGATGGGCCCTGGAAGCTGAGCTCAGCCAATCTGGTGCTCCCATTGGGATCTTTGGGACCTGGGCAGGAGCAGTCATTCGTAGCAGTGGTGGTCATTTTGGACTCCTTCAGGAACAGTATCTAGTGTTGGGGGTGGTGTGGATGGTGAGGGGCAGAACCAGCAGCAGTGCCCTAACAAGGTGCTCCCTGTCTTGTGATCTTGGAGTGTTCTCTGCCACCAGCATCCCTTGGTTCCCGACTTTGAGGGCAGGTGCTGCCCATCAACTCTTGAGCTAACAGAATTTAACTTTCTAGATTATTCTTTTTTTTTTTTTTGAGACTGGGTCTCACTCTGTCACCCAGGCTGGAGTGCAGTGGTGCAATCTCCGCTCACTGCACCCTCCACCTCCTGGGTTCAAGCAATTCTCCTGCCTCAGCCTTCTGAGTAGCTGAGATCACAGGCACCCGCCACCATGCCCAGCTAATTTTTGTATTTTTAGTAGAGACGGGGTTTCACCATGTTGGCCAGGCTGGTCTTGAACTCCTGACCTCAGGTGATCCACCGCCTTAGCCTCCCAAAGTGTTGGGATTACAGGCGTGAGCCACTGAGCCTGGCCCAGACTATTCTTTGTCTGCTGGTTAGTGAGAGATGGTTTCTGTTGTTCACAACTGAGTTCCTTGTCTGATCTAGGCTGGAAAGAACCTTGAGGAAGCTGGGCAGTGTAGAATACAGAATTTGGGGGAAGGTAGGTAGGGTGATGTGGCTGGAGCACTGGAAAATGTTAAAAAGACTTGGGGGCCGGGTGTGGTGGCCCACCCCTGTAATCCTAACACTTTGGGAGGCCAAGGCAGGCGGATCACCTGAGGTCAGTAGTTCAAGACCAGCCTGGCCAACATGGTGAAACCCCGTCTCTACTAAAAATACAAAAAATTAGCTGGGCATGATGGTGGGCACCTGTAATCCCAGCTACTCGGGAGACTGAGGCGAGAGAATTGCTTGGACCTGGGAGGCAGAGGAGTGCATTGGTGAGCTGAGATCGCACCAATGGACTCCAGCCTGGGCAAAAAGAGTGAAACTCCGTCTCAAAAAAAAAAAAAAAAAGACTGGGAAGATGGAGATGGGCAGGGAGAGGTACAAGATAAAGGGCCCTGTCAACCAGGCTAAGAAATTTGCCTTTTTCCCATTAGGATAAACGGGCAACCACTGAAGAGTTTAAGTAGGGAGGGTCTCAGTAAGGCTAGTACCTTAGGAAGATCATAGGGTACTGATGATGATCTTCCTATGGGAAGATCAGTGCGATGGGTGTGAGCAGGGCCGCTACTGACCCTGGGTGAGATTTAGAAAAAGGAGCCTCCAACTAACGCAGGAGCAGAAAACAAAATACTGCATGTTCTCCCTTATAAGTGGGAGCTAAATGAGAGAACGCATGGACACGTCGAGGGGAACAACACACACTGGGGCCTACCGGAGGGTGGGGTGGTAGGAGGGAGAGGATCAGGAAAAAGAACTGATGGTGACCCTCCTCCAGGCAGCCTCTGTCCTACAGGAGGCACTGGTTGGCTGGATTTCAGCCCCAGTTCACCCCTTCCGTGGGCACCATTGTGCAGAGCACAGGTGGGGCAATAGTTCCCAGGGGTCTGGATTCTAGGACCCAGCACTCTCCCTGATCCTAAGGAGCTTACATTATTGCCTCTACTTTGCCTTCTTCTCCTGATGACAACCCCTTTCTCCCCTGGCCAGCGAGACCACCTCTCTCAGTTCCTCATCTTTGAGAAAATAAGGCCACTTTCTTAGCTGGTTCTCAAAACACGATCCTGTCTTTATTTCAGGCAGAAATCGGCTTTCTGGACAGGGCCTCACCCGAAGCTGGTTGCGCTAGCCTCTCTAATTCTCATGCCCAGAAATCCTCCCTTGGTTTTTTTGTTTGTTTGTTCGAGGCAGGGTCTTGCTCTGTCACCCAGACTGGAGTGCAGTGGCACAATTACGGCTCATTGCAGCCTCAACCTTCCGGGTTGAAGTGATCCTTTCACCTCAGCCTCCCAAGTAGCTAGGACTATAGGCACGCATCACCACACCTAGCTACATTTTACAATTTTTGTAGAGACAGGGCTTCACTATGTTGCCCAGGCTGGTCTCAAACTCCTGGGCTCAAGCAATCCTCCCACCTCAGCCACCCAAAGTGCTGAGATTGCAGGTGTGCACCACCAAGCCTGGCCCTGCTGGGTTTTCCTTAGGCATCTACTCTTGAACCCACGTAAGCCTTCCAGGAAAAGCAATGGCTAGGCTCCTGGCTGATAAGTGGGAAGGTCAGCTGCATAGGTGAATGCTTGTGTATGGAGGAAGGGGTGACCCCCTGCCCTCAGCCCCTAGGCCATCATGTGCTAAGTGGTCCTGTGGCACACAAAGGCTCTAAACCATGGATTCTGGAATCTTCCTGCCAACAGAACCTCAGGGATTATTTGGCCTAAGCTCCCACTTGAAGTAGGAGTCTTCTTTATAGGAGCCTCCTGTAAAGATGGGCATTCAGCACCTGCTTGAATACCTCCAGTGATGGAGGACTCACTACTCGATGTAGCAGCTTGTGTCTCAGTGACATTGAGCAGTGTATTTAGGTGACCTTTGCAAGGTCACACATCACTCTGTGACTGCTGCCTGGAACTACGGGGCTATTCCTCCATATCCCTTTCTCTGCTTGCTGCCTCCTCCTGCTCCCAGGACTCACCTCCTAGGGTAGCCTGACTGGCACGCTGTCTCTGGAGCCACCACGCCGGAGGTGGCAGGGTGCTGTTGGAGTGGGTGAGCTGCCTGGGGTGCCAAACTTCTCCAGCCCTGCAAGACTCAGAGGAGAGGGGGATGGAAGTAGTGTGGGTGTGTGGCTCTGTGGGGTGGGCAGGGTGGATTTTTTTCCCTATTTGTTTTCCATTTTTCTCTCCTCCCGGTGGTTGGGCTGGCTGATTGGAGGTGCGGGTGTGTGGGGGTGGTGTGTGCTTGTGTGTGCACGCGTGTGCGTGTGTGCATGCACAGCTGTGTGGGAGGGCATCCGTGCAGGAGGCTTCACGCTGGAGCGGCCTCTCCTTGCTGACCAACTCTGACAGAGCTCCCACTGATTTGGCCTTAGAAAGTTTCATGGTTTTGACAGGAACAAAACAGAAGATGCAGATAGGCTGTGCGGTTTCCTTGGCAACTCGAAAACATGGGTGGGGGAGGGGATGGTGGGAACCAGAGAGAAGGGAGTGATTGGGCTCCACCACTCAGCTCTGTCCCCCCTCTTTTTTCCCTCAAAATAGCTCAGGATAAAATGTTGAACCATTCTCAGCATTCCTGTCCCTGGCCCACAGGAATGGAGAAGGAACTCAGCAGCAAGGAAGGCGCAGAGGTGCCCCTCGGATAAGGGAAGCAAGAGATCTGCCTTCTAGAGGATTCTGACGCCTCTTATTCTCTTTCTTATCAAGCTGACTTGTCTCCTCTACCTTCCACTCCCTTATTTTGTTATCCCGGCAGCTTTAAGGACTCACCTTCCCCAAACTAACCCAAGGAAAACCAGAATCCCACGCTCCCAGGTTCTCTACCTTAGAGTGACGTGACTGGTAAGGAAGCAAGGAGTGGGTGTCTCTCCTCCCCTCACCAGCCACGAAACCTTGGGACAGCTCCATTCCTAGAAAGCAGGAGACTGAACTAAGTCGGAGGTGGATGACGGAGACTGTTCATTAAGGAATAAAGACGTTGGGCCAGGCATGGTGGCTCACTCCTGTAATCCCAGTACTTTAGGAAGCTGAGGCGGGCAGATCATGAGGTCAGGGGTTCAAGACCAGCCTGGCCAACATAGTGAAATCCCGTCTCTACTAAAAATACACATAGTAGCTGGGCGTGGTGGTGTGCACCTGTAATCCCAGCTGCTAGAGAGGCTGAGGCAGGAGAATCGCGTGAACCGGGGAGGCAGAGGTTGCAGTAAGCCAATATCGCACGATTGCACTCCAGCCTGGGCAACAGTGAGAGACTCTGTCACCAAAAAAAAAAAAAAAAAAGAAAGAAAGAAAGAAAAGAAATAAAGATGTTTATTACTAATTAGTGAGACTGTCTCCCCTACTGCAAGTTCACCTCCCAAGTGAACGTGCTCAGACCACCTGCCCTAGAGGCAGCACCCCAGAGCTCCAGTAAGACCCATGCCCAGCAATTCTTTTTTCCTTTTGAAAAAGGGTCTCACGTTGTCACCCAGGCTGGAGTGCAGTGGCACGATCTCGGCTCATTGCAGCCTCGACCTCCCCAATTCAAGCAATCCTCCTGCCTCAGTCCCCTAAGTGGCTGGGACCACAGGCATGCACCACCACATTAGCCTGGCGAATTTTTTTTTTTTTTTTTTTTTTTTAGAGACAGAGTTTCACCATGTTGCCCAAGCTGATCTTGAACTCCTGAGCTCAAGCAATCCACCCACCTCAATCATCCAAAGTGCTGGGATTACAGGCATGAGCACCACGTGCCTGGCCTTATGCCCATCAATTCCTTTTTTTTTTTTCCTTGGGACAGGGTCACGCTCTGTCACACAGGCTGGAGTGCAGTGGTGAGATCTTGGCTCACTGCAGCTTAGACTTCCAAGGCTCAAGTAATGTCCCCACCTCAGCCTCTCTGGTAGCTGGGACCACAGGCATGCATCATCATGCCCAGCTAATTTTTGCATTTTTTCTTCTTTTTCTGGTAGAGACAGGGTTTCGCCATGTTGGCCAGGCTGGTCTCAAACTCCTGGACTCAAGCGATCTGCGCACCTCGGCCTCCCAAAGTGCTGGGACTACAGGCGTGAGCCACTGTGCCCAGCCCTATGCCCAGCAATTCTCGACAGCCCCCTGGCCCTTTTCTAAAGCATAGGCCTCTGGATCTAATTAGACCCATCCCCTTCCCTGGTCCCTCTTATCTTGGGCACTGGAATTCTTTTACCTGAGAATATGGAGGTTCTGAAGACATTTTTGCATACATTTTTAAAACCAAACAACCCTAATGCTACCCCAGTCCTGCAACGGAACTTTAGTGGTGGCCATGCAGCCTGCCCTTGGCACAACTCAGACACCAGGGAAGGGGACCTTGGGGGGCTCTTGGAGCAGCCATTCCCTGTCTGGGTGTTGAATGTATTTAGGGAGCAGGAGACAGGCAGGAGAAGAGAGCTGAGAGGCTGTGGGGCCCCTGTGTTCACAGTCTCCTGGATGAGTCAGTGGAGGAAGGGGTGCTGGGCTGGGAGTGAAGAGGCCAGAGTTCTAGTCTCGCTCAGGCTCTGACCAGCTGTGGGTGGGAGGAAGACAGCCACGCTTCGGTGGCCACATTCCTGCAGTAAGCTTGGGACATACAGTCTGACAGACACTTGGGGGTGTGGTGAGGGACCATGAAGCAGAAAATTTGCAGTGAAACAGATGGTTGCCAGGACCATGGCCCCCTAGCTTCCTGAGTGTGGCCCTTCCCGTCCCCCTATGCCTGCGTGCTCCATACCTCCCAGGACGAGTTTGTCAAGCTCGACTTGCCTTTCCACCCACAGGAAATCAAAGATTCCAGGGTATGGTCACTCTGCCTCCTCCCCATCAGCTGCCCTGATGCATGGTGACTCGGGAGAGAGAGTCCATTTATCTTGAGTCCATTTATCTGCTCAGTCTCTCAAAGCTCTTCTCCAACATGGTCATTGCCCCACCTCTTCCTCCCCTGGAGTTTTCTCCACCTTCAGCTGCCTCAGCAGCAATACATGGAGAATAGGCCCTCCGTTAGACTCCACATCCCCACACCCAGCCCATGCCCAGGAAGAGAGGACAGTGCCCACCCACTCCTCTGGCTCTGAGCTCCCCTGGCAGACGACAGAGCTGGGAGTCCACCCGTTCTTCTGCAGGAAGGAGAAGAATGAGTCTCAAGGGCTGTTCCCCGCTGCCCTGCAGGCCCCAGCTCTAGGGAGAAGTCAAGCAGCTTTGAGAATGAAATAAGTACAAGATGCCCCAATAAATGGCTAAGAACTGATTATGAGGGGGGCAAACTGTCCAACCAAGGGGAAGAGCGTATGGGGAAGGGAGAATGACTCAGGAGACCCCGGCTTGTTCCTAAGTGGTAGTGCATCACGTAGGTGGCCTTTAGAAAGGCCCTGGCATTTGGCCATTTGTCTACTCTTGAATGTTCTTCCCGAACATCACATAGGCACATCCACCCCCTTTAAAGGAGGGATTATTTCCCAGATGCCTTGACGGTGGGAAATGAGGACAATGGGTAAAACAATGCCTTCTCTACTGGAATGTCTACTCAGCCAAAAGGAAAAGAAAAAGCAAATAGGTAAAAGAGTGTCTTCTCTATATGGGTGCCATGACTGGGGGTTTCCCTGAGGTCCCTGTCTTGAGGGCTGGGATCTTGGTTTCCACTGGTTTGACCTCTCTAAGCCTTGCACCTAGCCATTCTCTGCTTCCCCCAGGCTAGAGAGGCCAATGGGTGTTTTCTGTGACTGGTAGCCATGGTTGAGAAGTGAGGCAGTGGAGGAGTCCATAGAGGATGGTCCCTGTCTGGGCTTCATCTGTTTGACTGAGCCTCTGAGGAGGCAGCCTGGGGAAGGTACCAGGGAAACTGAGACCAGAAGATGTGAGCTGAGCAGATGTGGTGTCACAAAGGGGAGGTGGGCAGTCCCCGGGCTTGGCCTGACTGAAGTCCCCACTGAGTGGCAGTTCAAGTGGGGTTCCTTGTTTTTGTTTCTGTTTTGAGACGGAGTCTCTCTCTGTCGTCCAGGCTGGAGTGCAACAGCGTGACCTCAGCTCACTGCAACCTCCACCTCCCAGGTTCAAGTGATTCTCCTGCCTCAGCCTTCCGAGTAGCTAGGAATACAGGCATCCACCACTACACATGGCTAATTTTTGTGTCTTTAGTAGAGACAGCATGTTGGCCAGGCTGGTCTTGAACTCCTGACTTCGGGTGATCCACCTGCCTCAGCCTCCCAAAGTGCTGGGATTACAGGCGTGAGCCACCAAACCCAGCCTCAAGTGGGGTTTGTGTGTGCCTGAAGTGGGCATGCGGGAGAAGAAACTTGGGGGGGGGGTGACATTGATAGACTCTCTGACTTCTGAAGATGCTCTCCTGGGCAGCGCTGGAGACAGTAACACTCGGGTCACTGAACTAGGTGATATGGTTAGGGTTCTCTGCAACCAAGAAGACTGGGTCTCTCTGCAGCCCCTTTGCCCAACTCCCTTATATTAGTTTCTTAAAGTTGGCGTAATAATTTACCAGAAACATGGGGCTTAAAGTAACAAAATGTGGCCAGGTGCAGTGGCTCACGCCTGTAATCCCAGCACTTTGGGAGGCCAAGGCAGGCGGATCACAAGGTCAGGAGATTGAGACCATCCCGGCTAACAAGGTGAAACCCTGTCTCTACTAAAAATACAAAAAATTAGCCGGGCATGGTGGCACGTGCCTGTAGTCCCAGCTACTCGGGAGGCTGAGGCAGGAGAATCACTTGAACCTGGGAGGCAGAAGTTGCAGTGAGCCGAGAGAGTGCCACTGCACTCCAGCCTGGGAGACAGAGCAAGACTCTGTGTCAAAAAAATAAAAATAAAAAAATAACAGAAATGTATTGTCTCACAGTTCTGGAGAGCAGAAGTCAGGAATCAAAGTGTTGGCAGGGTTGGCTCCTTCTGGAAGCTCTAAGGCAGAGTCAGTTCCATGCTGCTCTCCGAGCTTCTGGCTGCCACCTGCCATCTGTGGCATTCCTCGGATTACAGATGTGTCACTCCAATTCCAGCCTCTGTCTTCACATGGCTTTCTCCTCCATGTGTCTTCTCTTCTTTTTATAAGAACACCAGTGGTTCAGCTGGGTGCGGTGGCTCACGCCTGTAATCCCAGCAGTTTGGGAGGCCGAGGTGGGTGGACCACTTGAGGTCAGGAGTTGGAGACCAGCCTGGCCAATATGGCAAAACCCCCTCTCTACTAAAAATACAAAAATTAGCTGGGCGTGGTGGTGCACACCTGTGATCCCAGCTACTCAGGAGGCTGAGGCAGGAGAGTCGCTTAAACCGGGGAGGCAGAGATTGCAGTGAGCCGAGATTGCTCCACTGCACTCCAGCCTGGGCAACAGAGCAAGACTCTATTAAAAAAAAAAACACAAAAAAAACAAAAACAAAAAAACACCAGTTGTTGGATTTCATGCCCACCCTAAATCCAGGATGATTTATTCTTTTTTTTTTTTCTGAAACGGAGTCTTGCTCTGTCCCCCAGGCTGGAGTGCAGTGGTGTGATCTCCGCTCACTGTAACATCCGCCTCCCGGGTTCCAGTGATTCTCCTGCCTCAGCCTCCTGGGTAGCCGGGATTACAGTCACCCGCCACCACGCCCGGCTAATTTTTGTGGTTTTCATAGAGACAGGGTTTCGCCATGTTGGACAGGCTGGTCTCAAACTCCTGACCTCAGGTGATCTGCCCTCCTTGGCCTCCTAAAGTGCTGGGATTACAGACGTGAGCCACTGTGCCCGGCCAGGATGATTTATTCTTGAGAGACTTACTTATACCTGCAGCAACCTTATTTCCAAATAAAGTCACAGCCTGAGGTGCCAGTTGGATATAAATTTGGGGGAGACACTATTCAACCCACAACAGCCCTTAATCCCACACTCGTGCCAGAGCTGTGGAGGGGTGAGGAGACCCCCAAAGTTTGATCAGCAGTCCCAAGGGCAGGATGCTCAGAGGACACACAGGCCCTGAAGTTCTAACCCAGCTCCCCCGCCTCCATGTTACCCTGAGCTTCCTAGAAAGTTGCAAAGCAAAAACGATCGGACACCATTCCCCAGGGATTGGCAGGGATGGTCTCCTCCACTCAAAAGAGGTGTCTGGAGTGTTTCCTTGAATAATAAGTTGCACCTTGGACTGCTTCTTAGCTGGACGAGTGTCTTTCTTAAGCCAACTTTAATCCATCTTGCAGTGGCTCAGCTGTATTTTCTCTTGGTCTGTCCATGAGGTTGATGTAGAACAGCGTCTTCCTGATCTACCATTCTTCTAATGCTCAGCTAACATTTGTCATGTCTTTCCCCATTTCAGTAGGGGATGTCTTTGCCTGGAGAGGGTATGTCAGAGGCACTGGGAAAGTCAGGGATCAAACAACCCACCTAAATGCAGAGAGTTTGAATTTTCTTTATGAGCCTTCTCAGCTATTAGTTTGCACACCTCCCTCTGCCCCTCCTGCGCCAGTGTTGGTGACAAGCTGAGCTGTGACTTTCTTCTCTCACCTCACATCTCTGAGCCACCATCATCTACCACCAACTCTGCACAATTACTCTTTAGTAAAAGAGAAAACTGGGAAGACAAGCTCCAGCTAGCACGGCCATCAGTCACCATAACGTTCTGGAATCAGCAATCATTACGGTGATAAATTGCTTTAGAATTCCCATCACAAATAGTGCTGCAGAGGGGAGACAGAGATTTAGACAGGAGCCCCCACTGTGCTCATCTCCTTTGGCATTTTAAGGAGAAAAGAGCCCAGCTTTGCAGTGCTAGGTTTTCTTCTTTAGAACATGAGGATGGCAAGCAGTTGAAGGGGAAGGGGACGCTGTAATTTGAGGGTCAAGCAGCTCTCACCCTAGTCTCAATGTATAGGACCTCCAAGGTTATAGAGCTTGGGGATCTGGTGCTAAGGGCAGGTACTGCCCAGGCAGATCCCAAGGGTGAGTGGAAATAGAGGAGACTGAAATGGGCCCTGGGGCACAGGAAGAGAAGGGTGCAGGGCCCAGGCACACCATAGATCAGTGTCTAAGCTGCAGTGAGGATCCAGACTGCTGGGTGTCCCCTCCAGGGCCATGAATTTCACCTCAAGACAAACAACTAAATAAAAACAGCTATTATTTTGTGCCAGGCTCTGCACTATGTTTTTTGTTTTGTTTTGTTTTGAGACAGAGTCTCGCTCTGTCATCTAGGCTGGAGTTGGAAACCGACAGACATTGGAAACATGGGTTTGGCAGGGAAAGATCAGGTGGTAGTTGACTGGGTCAGGGTCTGTCTTCCTCATGGAGGTTCCTGCCTCAACCCTTTCCCCAAAGTGAAGGTCCCTTTACTTCTCTTAAATAACTTTATTTCTGCTCCTTGGATGTGCAGAGCTAATCATATTCATTAAGTCATTGGTCTGCATGAGGCATGTGTTTTATTCTGTTATTTTCCCTCTCATTCTCTGCCCTCACTCCTGTTAACCATTCACCATAGATACTCACTTCAGTGCATTAGTATCTTTGCTTCCAGTTTGCCTTCCATATGCCTACAGAGATATATGCAGATTCCTGGAAAAGATTCATAATATTATTTCATGGATGTGTGTGTGTGTTCTTAATTTACATAATTGATTTTGTGCTATGAATCTTATTCTATTTCGGGCCAGGCACAGTGGCTGTCACCTGTAATCCCAGCATTCTGGGAGGCCGAGGCAGGCGGATCACCTGAGGTCAGGAGTTTGAGACCAGCCTGGCCAACATGGCAAAACCGTCTCTACTAAAAATACAAAAATTAGCCAGGCGTGGTGGTGAGCATCTGTAATCCCAGCTACTCAGGAGGCTGAGGTGGAAGAATCACTTGAACCCAGGAGGGGGAGGATGCAGTGAACCAAGGTTGCTTCATTGCTGTTCAGCCTGGGTGACAGAGCGAGACTCCATTTCAAAAAAAAAAAAAAAAGAAAGGAAAAGAAAAGCTTTTATTCTATTTATTTGCTCACTCAGTGGTAGTTAAGACCTGTGCATGTTGCCATGTGGACTTTTTACAGCATAGTGTTCCATCATATCCACACACCACATGTACTATCCATTCTTAAGTTGCTTCCAACTCCCAGGCACTACAAGCAGTGCTACAGTGAGCATCTCACACATGTCTCCTTATTGGCCTGTGGGAATGTTTCTCTGGGATGGGGATACCAGGACATAGAGAGTTTGGATACATCCTAGTCTTCTCAACCCCTCCTGGCAATTAATCCCTGTAACCCATGTTCAGCATTGTGTTCTGCCCTTTAATTGTTGGCGATAGCCTCAGTTGTACGTATCTTCTCTCGTCTGCTACACCCTAAGTGTAAAATGAGACCCTGTTTCCCTTCATTTTGCATTTTCTGCAGGTTCTCATCTACATCTTATCCAGAGTTGGTGTTACATAAAACAATTTTTTAATAGACTGAACTAACATATCCTTTCCTGCAGGAATGCATATTTCCTTAGAGCAAGATTAGCTGTGTTTCATTCATCTCAACTGAGTTCAGAATCTGGCACTCTAAACTATTCAAAATATCACCAGAGGACTTCCTAAGACATGATTCATGACCTTTTCAAACATGGAAAAATAGTACCGTTAAGAACAAAATGGGGGCCAGGCACAGTGGCTCACGGCTGTAATCCCAGCACTTTGGGAGGCCGAGTCTGGTGGAACACCTGAGGTCAGGAGTTCGAGACCAGCCTGACCAATATGGTGAAACCCCGTCTCTAATAAAAATACAAAAATTAGCTGGATGTGGTGGCAGGCACCTGTAATCCCAGCTACTCAGGAGACTGAGGCAGGAGAATTGCTAGAACCCGGGAGGTGGAGGTTGCAGTGAACCGAGATGGCGCCACTGCACTCCAGCCTAGGGGACAGGGAGAGACTCTGTCTCAAAAAAAAAAAAACAAAACAAAAAAAAGAATGAAATGGATTAGAAGTTAGGAGATCCAAGTGCCATATAACTAGTTTTATGAACTTAGACAAAGTAAACGTCTCCTCTGAGCTTCAGTTCCCCTATATGTACAATGGGGGGTTTAGTGGCTTCTTGCTCCTAGCTGGATTCCGGAAGATGATGAGGGAGTGTTATGGTTCCATCCCCATTTGAGAAGCCTGCTGGGTCGGGCTGGTCTTCCAGGAGGAGAAGGGGGCTGAGGGGAGGATGGGGCCTGGCACACTGCTGGGTGTGGCAGCATCCTTCCCCCTTTGGTTTTCTCCTTTGTTCCTCGAATCATCCCATGCAGTTTGCCTTGATCCATTTCCAGAATATTCATCACTGATGACATGGGGCTCCACCCAGGGATTAGGACTTTCTTGGGAAGATCCAGAATATGAGTCAAGAGAAAAAGAGTGGAGAGCAGCTTGCAGAAGATAAAAGGCCTGCAGTAGTAACTGGGGCAACAACTGGAATCCAAGGGATTCAGGAGCAATCAGACTCAGGGATAGAAGAAATAGGGCAAGCCTGGAGCACACTGTCACCTTAGAAACATGAGCACCAGGACTGATGCAGTGGACCCTGCTGGTGCCCACTGGAGATACCTGTTCAAGGAGGGGTTAAGGTGGTAGGGGAGAAGAATGACAGGGACTCAGATTACCCTAAGAAAATCAAATGGGGTCAGGTGTGGTAGCTCACATCTGTAATCTCAACACTTTGGGAGGCCAGCGCTGGAGGATTGCTTGAGCCCAGGAGTTCAAGACCAGCCTAGGTAACATAGGGAGACTCCATCTCTATAAAAAAATTTAAAAAATTAGCTAGGTATGGTGGTGTGCACCTGTGGTCTCAGCTATTAGGGAGGCTAAGGCTGGAGGATCACTTGAGCTTGGGAGATTGAGGCTGCAGTGAGCTGAGGTCATGCTACTGTACTCCAGCCTGGGCAACACAGCGAGACTCTGTCAAAAAAAGAAAGGAAGGAAGGAAGGAAGGAAGGAAGGAAGGAAGGAAGGAAGGAAGGGAAATTATATGGTTTGACTGTGTCCCTACCCAAATCTCATCTTGAATTGTAATCCCCATAATCTCCACATGTCTAGGGAGAGACCTGATGGGAGGTGTTTGGATCATGGGGACTGTTTCCCCCATGCAGTTCTCATGATATTGAGTGAGTTCTCATGAGATCTGATGGTTTTATAAGGGTTCTTCCCCCTTTTCTCCTTGCACTACTCTCTCCTGTGGTCATGTGAGAAAGTCCAACCTTGCTTCCCCTTTACCTTCCACCATGATTGTAAGTTTCCTGAGGCCTCCCCAGCCATGTGGAACTGTGAGTCCATTAAACCTCTCTCCTTTATAAATTACCAAGTCTCAGGTATTTCTTTGTAGCAGTGTGAGAACGGACCAATACAAGAAAGAAAGAAAAAAAATCAAAAGAGAAAAGAAGCTTAACCTACATTTAAACTTGCCTTGGGATTCCAAGGGCAAGTGCAGGACTAGATAGGATGCAAGAAAATCACCACTGGGAGGAGTTTGGGAAGTAAAGCCTAGCCCAGCAGAAAGGTCAGTTGCTTTGGGAAATGCAGAAGGGTGAGGGAAAGAGTACACCAATGCTGGGGTCTGTGCTAACCTATTTGGGCTCAGCACTAAGCAATGCTGGGAGTCCAATGGTGAAGGGCAATATCATGACTCAAGACTACAGGTGATCAGGGTTGAAGATAGACCTGCTCAATGCTCCAGGAGACCCAGGAGAAAGCTGCCAGCCTCCTCAAAGGCAGCATTTCTTCTTCTTCCTCTTCCTCTTCTTTTTCTTGTTCTTGTTCTTGTTCTTCTTCTTCCTTCTTTCTTCTTCTTCCTCTTCCTCTTCCTCTTCCTCCTCTTCTTCTTCTTCTTCTTCTTCTTCTTCTTCTTCTTCTTCTTCTTCTTCTTCTTCTTCTTCTTCTTCTTTGTTAAAGATAGGGTCTCAGGCTGGGCATGGTGGCTCATGCCTGTAATCCCAGCTCCTTAGGAGGCCGAGGTGGGCAGATCACCTGAGGTCAGGAGTTTGACACCAGACTGACCAACATGGAGAAACCTTGTCTCTACTAAAAATAAAAAACTAGCCAGATATGGTGGCACATGCCTGTAATCCCAGCTACTCGGGAGGCTGAAGCAGGAGAATCACTTGTACCCAGAAAGCAGAGGTTGTAGTGAGCCAAGATCATGCCATTGCATTTCATCCTGGGCAGCAAGAGTGAAACTCCGTCTGAAACAACAACAAATAGACAGGGTCTCATTCTGTTGCCCAGGCTGGAGTGCAGTGGCTACTCACAGCCTCAATCACAGCACAGTACAGCCTCAAATTCTTAGGTTCAAGTGATCCTGTAGCTGGGCCTGCAGGTGTGTGCCACTGCACTCTGCAATTGCTGTCATATTCTATTGGCCAAAGCAGTCACAGGCCAGCCCAGAGTCAATGGGAGTGGTGATAGAGCCCATTTCTTGATGGAGGGAATGTCAGAGTTCTTGGTCATCTTTATCCTCCCACGTGTGCTACTATAAAATTCTCCCTCTCAGTCCTTTCTCTCCCCTGCTTCCCTATTGCCAGCTGCTCACCTGCAGCCTCTGTCTTCCTCTCACTGCTTTAAGCACAAACCCCTTGTCTGGTCTCTGTCTTTGAGCTCTCAGTCCCCAGCACAATTATCCCCTACCAGTGCCCACACATTTTCCCTGCCCCTACACAGGCCCGTTGGACTCTCCTCTGTCATTGGCTTTGCCTTAGATAATGCTTTCCCTTCCCTTCCCTGCATAACTTTCCTTCCGACAGAACCAGCACTTTCCAAGGGCAGCTATTCCCATGAAGAAGCCTCAGCTTTCTCCCTGTTGCTCTCCATGACTTCTGGACTATGGACAAAACAGACACAATGGAAATGAAATTGTTGTATTTAGTCTCTCAATCCAAGTGGAGACTGGGGCTAGAGATAGAATTAATCAGTCAATGAACATTTATAAAATGGAATGCCCAGTCTGGTGGGGAGCTGAGCACATAACAGATCACCAGTATAGGGTGTGTGGCCAGCAGGTATAAACAGAGTGCTAGCTTCACCGGACAGAGAGATCCTTGAGGGCAGGGCCCAAGCCTTGTTTATTTGTGTTCTCAGAGCCCAGCACAATGCTGAACAAATGTTAAATGAGTGTATAAATGAATGAATGATTGCACACCTATCACAGATATAAAATTACTTCTAGAAAGCTAACTTCTCTTGAATTAGATTAATTGGAATTCACGTGAGTCTCTGGAGGAGGCCAGGCATGGTGGCTCATGCTTGTAATCCTAGCACTTTTGGAGGCCAAGGCAGGAGGATTGTTTGAGCCCAGGAGTTTGAGACTAGCCTGGGCAATATAGGAAAACATCATCTCTACAAAAAATTAAAAAAAAAAAAAATAGCTGGGTGTGGTGGCATGCACATGTAGTCCTAGCTACTCAGGAGGCTAAGGCAGGAGGATTGCTTGAGCCCAGGAGGTCAAGGCTGCAGTGAGCTGAGATCACACCACTGCATTCTAGCCTGGGAAGCAGAGCAAGACCCAGCCTCAAAAAAGAAAAAAGAAAAAAAAAAAAAAGGGAAAGAAAAAAAAATTAAAGAAGTCTCTGGAGGGCACTGGGGATTAAGAATTAAGATTTTTCTTTAAAATCTTTGCCATCTGGCCATCTGGCCATCTGCTTTTCCTGGCTTCTCCTCATCCTGAATGATGATGCTCATAAATCCAGAACTTTCTTTTTTTTTTTTTTTTTTTTGAGACAGAATTTCACTTTTGTTGCCCAGGCTAAAGTGGAGTGGTGCGGTCTGGGCTCACTGCAACCTCCACCTCCTAGGTTCAAGCGATTCTCATGCCTCAGCCTCCCAAGTAGCTGGGACTACAGGTGCCTGCCACCACACCTGGCTAATTTTTGTATTTTTAGTAGAGATGGGCCATCGTGTTGGCCAGGCTAGTCTCGAACTCCTGACCTCAGGCAATCCACCCACCTCGGCCTCCCAAAATGCTGGGATTACAGGCATGAGCCACCAAGCCCGGCCCAGAACTTTCTAAATGACCTCAGCATCTGACTCACAGCCTCTTCCACATCATGCATCCCCTGCCTTCAGTCTTGATAATTCAATATCTGTGTATGGCTGTTTCTTTTCTAGTCCCCTGAGTTAACAGTCCTTGACCTCCGCCTGCTTTCTGTGCATGTGCTGCTGCCAGCTCTGCCTTCCAGCCTCATTGCTCAGGATTCCTTTTTCTACCCTATGCTATCAAACTAGAAGGTCCTCTTCCCCTACGCTATTGTACTTGCTGAATGGACACCATCCCCAGGAGCCAAACTCCTTCATCAAACTCATTACTGATTCACCCAACCATGTGTGATTTTTTTCTTTCCTGAAAATTGCAGGGGATCTTAACAGTCCTTCTCTCATGGAGTTTGTCACAGTCTGCCTTCTGGATAAATGTGTCCTTGTCTCGTCTTTCCTACTTTGATATAAGTTTTCATGGAGAGGAGACTCTGCCGTACTCACTTTTTGTCACACTCTGTCATAACGGCAACTAGCACAGAACAGTGGACATATGTTATTTTGTCTTCACAGCATCCCATCTTTTAAGGAACCCTCCTTCTTCTACTTCTATATGACCCACGGGGGGCTGTGAGTCATGGTGCCCCACCTCCACCTCCACAGAGCAGCACAGAAGATGCAGCCCCTGGCCTCAGAGATGGCTGCAGGGATGGGCATGCTACCTCCATACACAGAGAAAGAGCTCTTTTCCTGAGACCAGAGGCTGAAAGGATGATGTAAGGTGGGGTTGCTTGGGGCCATCTCTCTGGGCTACACGGAAGAAGGCATCTAACATAGGAGAGAATGAGACCCACCTCAAAAGAGGCAGAGATGGAAAGAACAATGGCTGATATGTTGGGGTGCGGATTTTGTATCAGACCCTGCTCCAAGCACACTGTGTGGACGATCTAATTTACTCCTCACAAAAATCCTAAGAGGTAATATTATTATATCAATTTTAGAGACAAGGAAACAGGGGCACTGAGAAGTTAAGCAGCTCATCTGAAATCATCCAGCTAGTTAGGTGGTGGAGTCCGGATTGGAACCCAGGCTGTGGGACTCCAAAACAGTCATGCTATGCTCTGCGTGCTATGCTGCCTTATGGATGAGCCAAGATGAACATAAATGGGAGTGAGATGGATTTACTCATTTATGAGCAAGTGCAAGAGAGAACTGACAGCATCTTTTGAGCTCCTGGATCTAGCTGTGCCTGGAGCCAGCTGACTCATGTGCTTTTTAGTTAAATAAGCCAATGCATTCCTTGATTTGCTTAAAATAGTGTATTCGTCACTTGCAACCTCCTGGCTTCATTGTGTAACAATGTGACTTAGTGATAAGGCACTACTTGTGGGTTTGCCTCCTGGCACTGCCGCTTACTTACCACCCAAACTTGGACAAATGACTCGACCTCTCAGGCCCCTGGAGGGTAATGACTTGGCCTCTCAGGGATGAGGGGATGGTGACTAGAGATGAGATTACATGTAAATGCACTTAACACTCTGTGAACACAATTTAAGTACTCAATCATCATTAGATTCTCCTTTCCCTATGTGGAGTAACTGTTCAATAAGCATTTGTTGAATTGAATTAAATCCTCCAGAGGCTGCAGGATGTTGCCTGAGCTTGCAAGCAGCTGGAGCTAGGGAGTCTCCAATCAGGGGAGCATCTCAGCTGAGGGGTTGCCCAACAGCTCTATCTGGCCATTGGAAGGTTAAAAAAAAAAAGATTTTACTCTTCTCCTGTCTCCTGAACAGCTTCATCCTCTCTGACTTCCAGATCTCTCCAACAGAGAACACAATGTCAGTCTGCTGGATTCCTTCATGCCCCTCTTTCCTCCTCCTTACGGTTGCCCTCTAGAGTCACCTACTAACTCGGTCCTATTGATTCCCTTTCCAATTTTTCTCAATCCTGCTCTCTCCTCCTCTGCCCTCCCAATGGTACCATTGCTCAGACCATCATCACCTTCTGGATGTTTGCAGCAGCTTCCTTTCTGACCTCTCTCCAGCCTTCCAGCCCACCGTGCAGCCCAAAACACCCATGTTAAAGGTGACCGAAGCACTCTTCACCCGAAAGCTGCCTTGGCCTGCAGGATGGTGAGCCAACCCTTGGCAGACACACAAGGCCCTCCTCTGCCCCACCGGCCTCTGCCTGAATTTCCAGGACAGTCTCCTGCTTTGCTTTTCCATGCCTCCGTGCTGTCACCACCCCGCCAACTCTTACTCATCTGCCAAGACTGTGCTCCATTTGCTTCTTTTTTTCTCCTGGAAACACTCATGGAATTCCCACCCCCACTCCCCAGGCCAAGCACTCCTCCTCTGTACATAATTCTGTCTTACTATTTTATACTGATAGGATCACTTTACGCACCTGTTTTGAGGACTCTGAGGCCATGTTCAGACTCATGTCTGAAACCCTTGCACCCCATACAGTGCCTGGCACCCACAAGGCCCTCACCTGCAGGCATCATGAAAGCTCCATGTGGGACTAGAAAGGGGAAAGGAGAAAATACACTTCTTGCAGACTAAACTCATGATTCTCTTGTATTCCTGCACCCTGCCTGATTTCCCTTATCCCTAGACTGGGGCCAATGCTTCTCTTAATGGCAAACACAATAGCCTTAGGGTTTAATTGTTGGGGAGATAGGGGGCATTTTCTTGCCTTGTCAAATGGGGAGGTATCCCACTTCCCCACTTTACAAGGTGAGAAATCCACTAGTGGAGGAAATGGAAAAGAGAATTTTCTCCAGGGTCCTGAGTGATTATAGGTGTTCACGTAATTCTCCATACAGTTTTACATGCATCATACATAAACAGGTAATCTTTGGCTGCCTTAAAATAGCCCCATCTCAGTTTTTAAAAGAATACGATTATTTCATTACATCTAAATATAGACAAAGAGTCTGTGCTGCTGCATAACTTAGGCAAATACATGCAAATCTCTTGCAGACCTGATCCCGTCACTGAGTTTCTAATTCTCAGGCCTCTGGTGCCCCTCCTCTCTCGTGCCGCTGCCCTTGAACAACAGGATCTGGTTGATCCGCTGGGCTAGTGACTCTGCTCAGCCTACCGCTCAGGGCTACTGTGGGGGTCCGATGAGGGACAGGGCAGTGAGAGGGCTGTGCACATGGACGTGCAACACTGTGGCATGCAGGAGGTGGGGCCGGGAGGGTGGTGAGCAGGATCGTCATGGGAGGTCACACCAGGCAGACCTCCAGCTGCTCTCCTGGGAGTGCCGGGGTTTCATTCCTCTCTCATTCTCATTTTTTCCCCTCTCAAATCTGTTTCCCATTAAAATGAAATGTGTTCTCCTCTCGGCTTTCTGCCTGGCTCCCTGAGCTGCGCCTGGCCCAGCTCTGAGAACCAGGCTGCATTTGCTCCTTTTTAAGGCACCCACTAATTCAAACCAAGCAAGTGGGAGGCGGATTGGCCTATGGGGCCACCCCCCATCCCCCAACCCTGGACTTTCTCCATGGATGGAAAATTTGGCCTCAGCCTGCCCTTGTGACTGGAAAAAGCGGGGTCAGCTCATCAAAGCAGAACAGGGTTGTTAGCTAGCTTTCCTCTTTCAGAGGGTTATATTAAGAAGGCGTGGCTCAGGGAGGGGGTTACTGGCCCTGGCTGGCCCCAGCCAGAAAGTTGCGGGGGTGGGGTTTGCTAGAGCAGGCAGATGCCTGCCAGGGCCAGGGAGAGCTTTCTGAGAGGGTGGTGAGAGACTGGAGAGGTGGGAGAGGGGTAGCTATGAAAGGAAAATGTGTGGAGGTGACATGGTCTGTAGGTTGGGCCAGGCCAGAAGAGAAGGTCAAAGAGAAATGAGTGTTCCAGTCAGGCTTGATGTCTTAGGGAAGATCCTGGGGCCCAGCCCACTGCCCCCTCCTCTCCGTCTCTCCTGCTCCCGGGGCTGAGGGAATGGAAGGAGCTGTGCCACTGTGAGGAGGAGGACCTGCATCTGTGAGGGGCCTGCTGGGACCAGCTGCTGGGGAGTACAGCTTTCTCTCAGTAGCTGAAGGGGGCTGCCTCTTTTCCAAGGGGCAGCTGCCACGCCACCGCAGGAAAATCTGGCTTGCCATTTTGGATACCTGGATTTTCCCACAGTGTGAGGGGGCTGGGGGTGTGGCCCAGGAAGGTGCACCTGAGGTGGGAGAAGAAAGAAGAAGACTGGATGGGAGTCAGCTGAATTGGGGGCCGCAGAGGCTGGGGTGAGAGGGAGGGAAGGAGGTGTCAAAGCTCAGCCTCCCAAAGCTGAGCGAGAAGAGCATGACGGGAGGGTGTTTCCCACCTCCTCGCCCACTCCAGCGCAGGGTCCTGTCTCCGTCCAAACGCTGCAAGCCTTTCCACATTCCTGCACTACCTTCCTGCGCTGCCTTTGGAGATCTGAGAGTCTTCAGGCATGAACTCTGGGAAGTAAGTCCTGGCTTTGCATGCAGGGGAAACGCAGAAACAACAACATAACAGGGCATGGTTACAGCTCCTAGACACACACCCATTCCTTCTTCCTTTATAATGAAGCTCAAAGCTCAGCAAGGCATCTGGCTTCTTGGCTCAAAACTACACTTCCCAGCTTCCTGTGAGGCGAGCTGTGGCCTTGTGATGGAGTTTTAGCCGATGCAATATGAGTGGAAGGGACGAATGCCACTTCTGGGTAGTTCCCTAAAGGCCGAGGCAGATGCTCCACCTTCCCTGTACCCTTCTCACTGACCGGACTGTGGATGTGATGGCGGGAGCTGGAGCAGTCATCTTATTTATTTTGTTTTATTTATTTATTTATTTTTTGAGATGGAGTCTCGCACTGTCACCCAGGCTGGAGTGCAATGGCGTGATCTCAGCTCACTGCAACCTCCGCCTCCCAGTTCAAGTGATTCTCCTGCCTCAGCCTCCTGAGTAGCTGGGACTACAGGCAGGCACCAGCATGCCCGGCTAATTTTTGTATTTTTTAGTAGAAATGAGGTTTCACCATGTTGGCCAGGCTGGTCTCCAACTCCTGACCTCAGGTGATCCACCCTCCTCGGCCTCCCAAAGTGCTGGGATTACAGGCTTGACCCACAGCACCCAGCCTTATTTGTTTATTTATTTATTTATTTTATTTCTCTTTTTGATACAGGGTCTCTCCCTGTCACCCAGACTGGAGTGCAATGATGCGATCACGGCTCACTGCAGCCTCCAACTCCTGGGCTCAAGTGATTCTCCAGCCTCAGCCTCCCTAGTACAGAGACTGCTACCCAATGAGTCAGTAAGCAGGATGGTCGTCCTGACTCTAAATATCCTAGACCCAGGCTCGTCTCCTTTATCTTCGCTATCCTCAATTCAGGCGAGGTCAGGTGGTTGGGGCCAAGTCCAGGTACCTGCCCTCAAGCCTCTCGTTGTCTCTGTCACACACCAGGTGATGGATGATGCACACACAAAAGACCCACACCTATGAGTCTACTCAGATGAAGACACAACCCCACCCACCCCAGTTTTGCAGGGAAGTAAAGCAATACAATAATTCATGTGGAGTAGGAGTGGCGGCCACTTCCTGCTGGCTGTGGTGGCCAGTTGTTTGCAACAGTCTGTGCACTGGCTGTCTCCTCACCCTTCCTTCCCACTCAGGAATGCCTATTGCAATGCAAGGAAATCAGAATGACATTATTAAGGATGTAGACTTGAATTGTTTCTAATTTATTTATTTATTTTGAGACAGGGTCTCACTCTGCTGCCCGGGCTGGAATGCAATGGTGTGATCTCGACTCACTGCAACCTCTGCCTCCTGGGCTCAAGCAACCCTCCTGCCTCAGCCTCCCAAGTAGCTGGGACTGCAGCCGTGTGCCACCACCACACCCAGCTAATTTTTGTCTTTTTGTAGAGACAGGGTCTCACCATGTTGACCAGGCTGGTCTCAAACCCCTGAGCTTAAGTGATCCACCTGCCTCAGCCTCCTGAAGTCCTGGGATTACAGGTGTGAGCCACCGTGCCCAGCTCTAATTTATTTTTAAAAGGTGAATTGCTCCAGAAGTGTTTTGAACATTCTTAGCAACAGCAATTCTCTTTCTTCACCTTTACACCTGACTGGGGTAGGCCTGGTTGTCATGACATCACTGTGGAAAGCAACCACCTGGGGGACTGCTTGGTGATCAGTCAAGCCTTCAGCTGACCAGCTTTCCCTTCTATGGTCTGGAGCACCACAGGGCAGGGACAGGAGAGCACCAATTCTTCAATGTGAACAGAACTCTCCGACATCATCAGAAGGGATGTCTGCCGGTTTTGCCTCCCCAAGCATCCTTTCTGCCTTTTTCTGCTCGCAGCATCTTGCTTCCCTTCTGGGAGTGCCTACTGCCTGTTCCATTGCACTAATGTCTGCCCTCTCCAAAGCTTAGGCATGTGACCCAATCAGACTAGAGTGTCTTTCCTGAGAACCCAGGGTTGTGGCCCCGGCAACAAGATAGATAGCAGTTAGGTCAGAGTGCTCTTGACCCATGAATTCTTACTACTCTGAATTTTGAGCAGGGTTTACATAAATAATAAATTAGAGCAAGCTCAAAGTTAGCCCTAAAATACTGTCACTTTCTCTTGATTTTAATATACTTTCTTGAAGAGGTGAGAGAAAGCTTGCACTATCCCTAATAGGTAGGAAATTGTATGTCACCTGCATGATAGCTGTGGCCTGGGGTCCTGTCCTTCCAAAGCATGGCTGTCCAAATCTTCCAGTTTAGGAATCTAAACTGGAAAATGTAGCCACTGCGCAGCACTGCCTTCATACCATCCAGAAACCAGATATTTCCTTTTTCCTTAAAGTGCCCCAGGAATAGAGTTACTAGATTTAATAAATACAAATACAGGATACCCGGTTACATTCGAATTTTAGATAAACATAAATGAATACTTTTTTTAGTGTAATTATGTCCCATGCAATATTTGGGCATCCTGTATTATGTCTGGCAACCCTACTCAGGGAAGAAAATGATGTTTCGTCTCTTGGGGTTGACTTACAAACACTCACCCTCCTTTACCCGATTCTGCTGTCCCTTCTCCCCCACAAGCAAATGGCTTCTGTAAGAGTGGCCGTATTATTCGCCAGATGGTTCGACCAAGGGTTACATCTGACAAAAGATGGACCAACCAGTGCAGCTTCCTAAGAATTTTTCAAACAGTAAGAAAGAATTAAGTGCTTTCAGGTGTTGGAGTTTGAGACATTAAGCTCAGGGACTGGTGGCAGCCTTGATTTCCAACACATGGACAGGACTGGCCTCTATTGAGAGAGAATGAGGTAGACGCGCAGGCGGAAGCAGAGAGTGCTGACAGTGTTCAAATATTAAATTCCAGTTGTTCTTGAGGGGCTCCTTGCCTTTGCCATGTTTCTTTTTTCTTTTCTTTTTTTTTTTGAGACAGAGTCTCACTCTGTCTCCCACGCTAGAGTGCAGTGGTGCGATCTCGGCTTGCTGCAACCTCCGCCTCCCTGGTTCAAGCAATTCTCCTGCCTCAGCCTCCCAAGTAGCTGGGATTACAGGTGCATACCACTATGCCTGGCTAATTTTTGTATTTTTAGCAGAGATGGGGTTTCACCATGTTGGTCAAGTTGGTCTTGAACTCCTGACCTCAGGTGATCCACCCTCCTCGGCCTCCCAAAGTGCTGGGATTACAGGTGTCAGCCACCAAGCCCGGCCTGCCTTGTTTTCATAAACTAAAAATAAAATCCTAAGCCCCCCAACCAACTAAATGGACCCCCTCTTGCCCAGGTGACCCCAGAGAAACCTGAAAAACTGAGTTCTTGGCCATGAGGGGAGGGAGGTTGGACACACCTCATTATACCCTCTCCCTTTTGGAGTTTAGGCACAACTGGCCAGCATTAATGCTAAAACAGAGATCATAAGACTAATAAAATGGACTCTTCGTGACAATAAGATACCGAATTATAAACAGGACCTAAGGCCATGCCAGACAAGGGGTAATTCACACACTCCTACAGGTTGCTGCAGCCCAGTGTATTGGTTAATAGAATTCCTTATCTTAAAACATTCCTTTCTGCTGACTCCAGATTTTTAAACAGAGCTTTACTCCTTTAGCCAATGGCAAATTAAAGAATCTCTGAATCCACCTATAACCTGTAAGCTCCCCCACTTCAAGATATCCGCCTTTGCAGGCTGAACCAATGTATACATTCCATGTATTGATTTATGACTTTGCCTGCAAGTCCTGCCTCCCTAAAATGTATAAAACCAAACTGTAGGCCGGGCGTGGTGGCTCACACCTATAATCCCAGCACTTTGGGAGGCCGAGGCGAGCAGATCACGAGGTCAAGGGATCGAGACCATCCTGGCCAACATGGTGAAACCCCATCTCTACTAAAAATACAAAAAAAAAATTAGCCGGGTGTGGTGGCATGTGCCTGTGATCCCAGCTACTTGGGAGGCTGAGGGAGGAGAACCACTTGAACTCGGGAAGTGGAGCGAGCTGAGATTGCTCCACTGCACTGCACTTCAGCCTGGCAGCAGAGCGAGACTCCGTCTCAAAAAAAAAAAAAAACAAAAAAAACCTGTAATCCCCAACTGCTTCCCGTGCACTATCTTGGACCTCTTGAGACTGTGTTCCTGGGCCATGTTCATTCATATTGGCTCAGAATAAACCTCTTTAAAATATTTAGAGCCTGGTTTTTGGATTAACATTTTGATTATTTATGCTTTTTTAGTTTACATGAACTACTAAGTTCTTTTTGCCCAAGGGTTGAAACCAAATACAAGTCGCAACACTTTATCATATTGGAGTCAGCTGTTAAGTTTCTGTTCCCAAGATGTGAGGAGGAGCAGTGTCTTACTCATCTTGGTCTCCTCAGCATCTAACCCAGCAACTGGCATAGAGTAGGACCTCAATCATGTTTTCAAAAAATTAATAAATGACTCCCTGGGCATGGAGATGAGCAATGTAGTGCACATTTGACTGATCTGATTTCTTCTTTTTTAAATCATGAATGTATTTCTTTTTAATTATTTTCGTAGAGACAAGGACTTGCTATGTTGCCCAGGGTGGTCTTGAACTCCTGGTCTCAAGTGATCCTCCCACCTTGGCCTCCCAAAGTGTGGGGATTACAGACGTGAGCCACCATGCCCAGCCATGATTTGATTTCTTGACAGAAACTCACCAAACATCAGGAATCTTTTCCACCAGCTCACTGGAAAATCCTGAAACTTAGAGAATCTCTCACTCCACAGCTGGCCGGAATGGAAGGCAAGGTTGTGGTTGGGTTACTGGTTTTTGCCCAGGTAGGAAAGTAAGGGAGCCTTTATGATAAGGATCATGGTCGCTGAAACAACCATGGTTGCTTCAAAAGTAGCCTCCTTGCATTATGCAGTTTTTTTAAAAAAAACTTTATTTTTAGTTATTTCTTAGAGACAGGATCTCACTCTGTTGCTCAGGCTGGAGTGTAGTGGCATGACTATATCTCACTGCCTCCTTGAACTCCTGGGCTCAAGTGATACTCCTGCCTCAGCCTCCCAAGTAGTCGGGACCACAGGCACACACCACCATGCCCAGCTCATTTTCAAGTTTTTTGTAGAGACAGGGTTCTGCTATGTTACCTAGGCTAGTCTTGAACTCCTAGGCTCAAGGGATTCCTCTGCCTTAGCTTTCCAAAGTGCTGGAATTACAGGTGTGAACCATTGCACGTGGCCTGTGCAGTTGTTTTGATTTCCTTTCTAAACAGATGAGAATGAAATATGAGCAAATCCTGTTGGGTCCTTCTAAAGAGGCTCTGGGAAGATGGCACTGGCTCTGTTTGTCTATGCCCAGGACAGCTCCTGGAGAGCAGTGGGGAAGCACAGGAAAGGGTCCCTGCAAGGCATGCTCAAGGTGGTGCTGTCAAGAACAGTGGAACTTGGCTGGGTGCAATGGCTCACGCCTGTAATCCCAGCACTTTGGGAGGCCGAGGTGGGTGGATCTCCTGAGGTCAGGAGTTCGAGACCAGCCTGGCCAACATGGTGAAACCCCATCTCTACTAAAAATAAAAATACAAAAATTAGCTGGGCATGATGGTGGGCGCCTGTAATCCCAGCTACCTGGGAAGCCGAGGCAGAAGAATCACTTGAACCCGGGAGGTGGAGGTTGCAGTGAGCTGAGATAGCGCCACTGCACTCCAGCCTGGGCAACAAGAGTGAAACTCTGTCTCAAAAAACAAAACAAAACAAAAACAAATTCCAGCATGTCCTGCCTGGCCTTTGTCCTGTCATCCCCATTACCCTGACTCAGTATTCTCAAAAGCCTGGAATATAGTTGCCTTCTAGTCTCAGGTTACACCAGAGCGGGGCACCTGGATGCATAGCACTCCTCCACCCCACCCCCACCCCATAGACTTTCAGGAAAGAGGAGTCAGCTTTCAGCAGGACTGCCAACCTGTCTGGAAGGAGGGAGGACAGCAAGCTCTGTAGCATCCCTAGAGAGTGGTTGCCCAGTCTCCCAAACTGCAGGGAGACAGCTCTCTCTCTCTCTCTTTGCCAGAGGAAGAATGAACTTCTGTCACCCTCTGCACTCAAGGAACTCCATCACCTCTAAATTATTTGTGTCAACCACTGAAGTCCAAGGAGAATTTCAGAGCTGGGAGAATTTGTTTGTATTTTCACAATTTATAATGCTCTTTTTGTCAGACCAATTTGCCAATACAAAAGGATGGCCTAACATACCATTATGGAGAGAGGAAACACAACAAGCAAACTAAAGCTTTTGCAACATCAAAGTGAATATTATCTTTGGCAAAATGTAAGAGAGATGTGGGGAAATAAAGGCTGCTGGGAAGGTTCTGTTACTAAGGGGTTTGTCAGCTGATCCCCGAGGCCCCTTTTGGCTCTGAAGTTCTGGAGAATTAGATTCTTTCCTACATTTATTCTGCTTTCTCTGTCCTTTTATCGCATGTGTTTATTTCACCAGCTTTGTTTCTTCTATGCTCATCACATTTGCATGCTGATTTTTCTAACAATGATAAGGAAAGTCTCTCTCTGAACGGAAATTTTGATAGCACAATGGGTGGACAGGACAGTTGTGATTTGTAGAAATGTTTCCTCACAGCTATCTTACCTGCATGAATATTCTTGCTGGGACTTCCTAGGGAGTGTGTCTTCTTGTCTTCTGTTCCTTGAATAATAACCTGATCATTTACTGACATGTTGACCTAAAAATAAATTCCATATCACTTCTCTCTCTCATTAATGATGTGTCAACTGTTATGCTACGAGATGCAAATATGTTATCTCATTTAAAATTCCTTTTTTTTTTTTTTTAACCAAGTCTCACTCTGTTGCCGAGGCTGGAGTGCAGTGTCGCCATCTCGGCTCACTGCAACCTCCGCCTCCCAGCTTCAAGTGATTTTCGTGCCTCAGCCTCCTGAGATTACAGGTGATCACCACCACGCCCAGCTAATTTTTTGTATTTTTAGTAGAGACGAGGTTTCACCATGTTGGCCAGGCTGGTCTCAAACTCCTGACCTCAAGTGATCCGCCCGCCTTGGCCTCGCAAAGTGCTGGGATTACAGGCATAAGCCACCACGCCCAGCCTCATTTAAGATTCTTTACAAACCTTTTGGGACATATAATTCTCATGTGACAGATGAAGAAAGTGAGTCCTAATGAGATTAAGAAACTTGATGCTGTCACACAGCTGGTAAGTGGCTGAGTCAGGGTTGGGATCAAAACTTTCCTGACTCCAGAATCTTTCTTTTTTCTTCTCTTTTCTTGTTTCTCTTTCTTTCTTTTTTTCTTTTTTTTTAGAGACAAGGTCTATCTGATCTGTGGCCCAGGCTGGAGAGCAGAGGCTGCTCATTGCAGCCTTGACCTCCTGGGCTCAAGCGATCCTCCCACCTCATCCTCAACCTGTAGCTGGGACCACAAGCACGGGTTACCACGCCCAGCTCAGAATCTTAATGAGTTTGTATAACTGGTTCCTTTCCCTGCCCCCTTTCCCTAAACTGTTAATATCATCCTCTTTCTCTTCCCTCAAGACATTTCAGAGTCTGTATTTTCCAGTGCAGGGAATCTTCATTTGGGTTTGCAGAAGAGCTTCAGGGAATCAGTGAGCCCCCTGAAATTGTAAGCACCTGCTATATGTAGCCATTTGTATACATGTTTCTGAATGAGGTACCACCACTTTTATCACATTCTCAAATGGTTATTGGACTCTGAGTGTTGGTGTGGGGTGGCTCGTTCCAAGGATCTCAAGCTTCAAGGTTTAGGACAGAGGTTCCCAAATGTGAGTGTGCATTAGTCTTACCCAGGAAGCTTGTTAAAATGCAAATGTTCTGTCTCACCCCCATTGACTTATTTGGTAGATCTGGGGCCAGACCAGGAATCTGCATTTTAATAAGCGCCTCAGTTGCATGTGATACCATAGATGTGGGACACATGCCTCCTTAGGAGAATGGATTATTCTCCATGACAAGTTACTCAATAGTACTTACTCAGTCCCTGGTGATCCTGGATTCTTGAGTTACCCCACCACTTAACTGTAGTGATTTATTTGAAATGGATCCAGGCATTTTCCACTTCTCCTATGACAGATTCTTAACCCTATTAGTAGTGACTATTAGGGTTGTGCTCCACAGACAGAGAAAATCGGCCAGGCGCAGTGGCTCATGCCTGTAATCCAATCACTTTGGGAGGGCAAGTCGGGAGGATTGCTTGAGCCCAGGAGTTCAAGACCAGCCTGGGTAACATAGGGAGACCCCCAACTCCACCAAATGCTAATACCTACAACAATAATAATACATAAGAAAGAGAAAATTCAAAATATTAGGACAAATCAAGAGGAATTGCAACAAATTCTCCCTAATGGAAATACTCAAATTGCTGGATACTCCAGGACTGATGCCATCAACACATACTACCTACTCAATATTAATTCTCACTCTGCCCCCAGCAGAGGGATTTTGTTTGTTTTTAGAGACAAGGTCTCACTGTGTTGCTGGTCTGGCCTTGAATTCCTTGGCTCAAGTGATCCTCGAGCCTCGGCCTCCCAAGTAGCTGGGATTACAGGTGCGTGCCTCCATGCCTGGCCTGGCAGAAGGTTTCTAAGATGATTGTCCTTGTCCCCTTCCTACTCTACATTGACACAATTAGGATAGCTGGAGTTTTAAAAACCAGATGCCTCTCTTGGGCTTTCATGGAGGAGTCCCTCGGGAAGGCCAGTGGCTCTCTACTCAGAGGCTTCATAAAGTGGCCTTCACCCTGGTGAGTCCACTGAGGACCAGGAAGGGACCTCAGCCTTGCAGTTTCCTCAACCTTCATGGCAGATATGTGGGTCATTTTTTCTGCCAGGCTTAGGTTAGCCTAACCCCCTTTGTCAACAGGAAGCTGGTGGGATATGAAACCCTGTGACACTTGTCATTGTATTTTAGGTCAGGCATGGGTAGAGTGGCCACCTGACTCATCCTAGGTCAATTAAATTGTCTCTTGGGTTTTAAAATAAGGAGGCTCAGAGACCTTAAACTGTCTGGAGCTGGAAAATTATGTGAATTAAGGTCTGAGGCAGATATGTCTGGTTTTATAAGCAAATGAAACAGAAAAAGTCTATTGGGGTGTAGCATTGGGAGAGGGACAGAGAAAGTTGCCAGTTTCTGTTTTATTCTGTGCTCATTTGTTTTCTGTTCTTGGTTATGAAACACCTCTGTAAGTCTTTCAATAAATCCATCTTTTTTTTGCTAAAGTAAGCTCAAATGATTTTTTTTTTTTTTGAGAGGGAGTGTCACTCTATTGCCCAGGCTGGAGTGCAGTGGTGCAATCTTGGCTCACTGCATCCTCCATCTCCCGGGTTAAAGCAATTCTCCTGCCTCAGCCTCCCGAGTAGCTGGGATTATAGGTACCCGCCACCACGTCTGGCTAATTTTTGTATTTTTAGTTGAGATGGGGTTTCACCATGTTGGCCAGGCTGGTCTCGAACTCCTGACCTCAAATGATCCACCTGCCTTAGCCTCCCAAAGTGCTGGGATTACAGGCGTGAGCCACCACGCCTGGCCCAAATGATTCTTTACTATAGAACTTCCCAAACTTTTCCACTGCAGATAGAAAATGCTAATACTTGCATGTAACAAATTTTACTATGGTATAAGCACACTTGTACCATTCATGGTACCACATTTGGGGAGTTTCACTTTACTACAACATAAAATAGGATAAGGAAGAAGGTTTGTAATCAGTAGACTGCCAGAGAAAATACGAAGTAGGCTGTGGAGTTGAGATAGAATATGGGTTCATGCTGAGGTGGAATGTGGGTGTGAAGATTTCCTCCTTCCAGGACAGGTAACCAGTGGCTTTTAGTACAAGACACCTCAGCCTCTTGGAACCTAGCCATGGTTTGGTTCACTGAGGTCAAAGCTTTGGGGGACTCTAGCTGCAAAACTCTAGACTGACTGTGCTGGTTCTTTCTTGCAGCCTTGTGTCCTAGAGTACAGCAAAAAAGGGACAAACTCCAGTCTAGGTTGCCCAGTTGAAAGCATTTAGGGCAATTATATAGTTAATCCCTTTGTGGGACGCCCTTTTTCCTCTGCCAGTATCAACTCTCAGAGCTGCGAGAGACCACATCGAGAAATTATGAATTCATCTTGCCAGACAGCAACAGTTGAATTCTCTGCCATGCCCTTTCTTTGGCTCAAGTTAATGCCTTAATTAGAAAAGAGAGAGATTCTTGGCTGGGCATGGTGGCTCATGCCTGTAACCCCAGCACTTTGGGAGGCAGAGGCAGGGGGAATCACTTGAGCCCAGGAATTCAAGACCAGCCTGGGCAACATGGTGAGACCCTGTCTGTGCCAAAAAAAAAAAAAAATGCTTAGCCAGGCATAGTGGCACCATCCTGTGGTTCCAGCTACTCAGGATGCTGAGAATTGGATTGGATTGCTTGAGGATTGGATTATTGCTTGAGCCCAGAAGGTCAAGGCTGCAGTGAGCCATGTTTGTGCTTCTGCACTCCAGCCTGGGTGACAGAGCAAGACTTTGCCTCAAAAAAAAAAAAAAAAAAAAAAAGAGAGAGAGAGAGATCGAGATCCTGATAACTAAAAATGTGCATAACTGAGAAATGGGGAACCTGGGCTCTGGGCCCCTCCAGAGCACTCCCCACTGCATGCCCTATAAATAATGTCAGATATATTACATCGTAAAATGCATTCTTTGATTCGGACAGGAATGTAGGGAGGTCTGGGTGTCAGACTTGAGAATAAACATGACAAAGGAGACCCAGCCCATTTTTTCCCCTGAAGTAGAATAACTAAGAAAAAAAAGGTAGAGTTGGGTGTAGCCCAAGTTGCTGCTAAGCAGAAGAGACCTTGCAGCAGTGGTCACTGCAGACCAATTAAGGTGCTGTTTCTAAATAACTCGCAGGTTATTTATTGCTTATAACCAGTAGAGTTCCTTAAAATAAAATTGACAAACAGTCCACCAGGTCTCTATGGAAAGAAGATGCCCCTGTACTCGATTCAAATGAACATGTCAGGGAGTCTTACCTCTGCAACAGCTGCCAGGCACCAAGCAAAAGTGCACTGCCGTGTTCTGGAAGCAGAACATCAATTTATTCATGTACAATGTGAAATACTATGCTAAACTTTAAAGTTTGTGGAAGAAAACGCGCAAGAATACCCAAGAAGGCCAGGCTCAGTGGCTCATGCCCGTAATCCCAGCACTTTGGGAGGCCGAGATAGGCGGATCACCTGAGGTCAGGAATTCGAGACCAGCCTGGCCAACATGGTGAAACCCCATCTCTACTGAAAATAAAAAAATTAGCCAGGCGTGGTGGCACGTGCCTGTAATCCCAGCTACTCAGGAGGCTGAGGCAGGAGAATTGCTTGAACCTGGGAGGTGAAGATTGCAGTGAGTCTAGATCATGCCACTGCACTCCAGCCTGAGCGATAGAGCGAGACTCCGCCTCAAAAAAAAAAAAAAAAAAAAAAAGCCAAGAAACAGAAGCATAATGACAGAGGATCTCAAAACACACCATAAAGTTTCAGTAATTAAAATAGTATGGTATTAGCATAGGAATAAATAAATCAATGCAACAAAACAGAGTCCAGAAACTCTATGTAAATGGAAACTTAGTAAATTGTCATGGTGGGGTGGGGTGTGGTGGCTCACGCCTGTAATCCTAGCACTTCGGGAGGCTGAGGTGGGCGGATCATGAGGTCAAGAGATTGAGACCATCCTGACCAACATAGTGAAACCCCATTTCTACTAAAAATACAAAAATTAGCTGGGCATGGTGGCATGCACCTGTAGTCCCAGCTACTCAGGAGGCTGAGGCAGAACCTGGGAGGCAGAGGTTGCAGTGAGCCGAGGTCGCACCACTGCACTCCAACCTGTCAACAGCGCAAGATTCTGTCTCAAAAAAAAAAAAAAAAAAAAAAAAAAAATCGGCCGGGTGCGGTGGCTCAGACCTGTAATCCCAGCACTTTGGGAGGCCGAGGCTGGTGGATCACAAGGTCAGGAGATCAAGAACATCCTGGCTAACATGGTGAAACCCCGTATCTACTAAAAATACAAAAAATTAGCTGGGCGTGGTGGCAGGCGCCTGGGAGGCTGCTCGGGAGGCTGAGGCAGGAGAATGGCGTGAGCCCGGGAGGCGGAGCTTGCAGTGAGCCGAGATGGCGCCACTGAACTCCAGCCTGGGCGATAGAGCGAGACTCCGTCTCAAAAAAAAGAAAAAACAAACAAAATTATCATGGTGGCATTTTAAATTATTGGGGATGAGGTATTGGAATTATTAGATTTTAATTTGAAAATAAACTTAGATTTATACCTTACATTATATCAAAAAATAAAATTCCAGATGAATTAAAGATCTAAACATAAGGAAAAAAATAAAAAGGTTATATAAAAAATAACATTATAACAGGCAAAGTTTTTAAAAAAGTGAGCCATGAATACCAGAAGCCATAAAAGAAAAGATTACTAGATTTGAGATTATGGAAATGTTATACTTCTTTTGGAGGAAATATGTTATAAACAAAATCAAAAGGCAAGTAACAGACTGAAATAAAATACTTGGAACATATAATCAACTGCTGTTAATTTCAACAAACTGACAAGAAAAACAGTGTAGCCAGGAGCAGTGGCTCACACCTATAATTCCAGAACTTGGGGAGGCCAAGGCAGGCAGATGGCTTGAACTTGGGAGTCTGAGACCAGCCTGGGCAACATGGCGAAATCCAATCTCTATGAAAAATACAAAAAATTAGCCACGCCTGGTGGCTGACGTGCACCTGTAGTCCCAGCTACTGAGACAGAAGGATTGCTTGATTCCAGCAGGTTGAGGCTGCAGTGAGCAGAGATCGCACCACTGCACTCCAGCCTGGGTGACAAAGTGAGATTCTCCCTCTCTCAAAAAACAAACAAACAAAAAAACAAAAACAAACAAAAAAAAACCAGTCTAATCATTTTATTTTTTTTGAGGTGAAGTTTGCTCTTGTCGCCCAGGCTGGAGTTCAATGGCGCGACCTTGGCTCACTGCAACCTCCTTCTCCCAGGTTCAAGCAATTCTCCTGCCTCCACCTTCCAAGTAGCTGGGATTACAGGTACCCACGACCGCCTCCAGCTAATTTTTGTATTTTTAGTAGAAATGGGGTTTCACCATGCTGGCCAGGCTGGTGTCAAACTCCTGACCTCAGGTAATCCACCCACCTCACCCTCCCAAAGTCCTGGGATTACAGGCAGGAGCCACGGCGCCTGGCCCAGTCTGATCATTTTAAAACATAATTTATAACAGAATACAAACAACTTAGAAGTATAGCATACCAGCAAAATAAAATAAGACCAACTTACTACTTTCTACCCATCACATTGGCTAAAGTTAAAACACAAAATAATATATCAAGGCTTTTGGGAAACGGTTATGCACGTATATCTGTTTTTTATACTATCCTGTCTCCAGATGCACATATATCCTTGATAGGAGTGGAAATCTAAATTGGTACCAAGTTTTTGGAAGGCAATGTGTAGTATGTATTCCATTTTCATTCAATTTCCAGGAATTTATTCTATAGAAAAACTTACACACGTACAGTCATGAGTAATGTGTGGGTACAAGGATGTCTCCTTTAGCAGCTTATGAGAACAACGACAAAAAATAAAATAAAATAAAACTAGATCATTTCCTATTTCTGTTTCTTTCTTTGAACAAGGTACAATTGATTAAGTTTACACTCCACAAATTACAATTCTTCTTTCAGAAATTACTTACTTTGATTGGAGTCTAAGGCATTTCCAAACTCTTCAGTCACACTTTCCAGAAAATATCTCAGTTTATTCCCACATTCACTGTGTATGAGTTTTACTGCTTTACTTCTCAGAGGACAATCTTATTTTCTAGGACTCATGTATTAGCAATTAGAAAACTGGTAAAATGCCATGTGGGTTCAATGTTACCAACTTTCCTTCCCCACTTTAGAGACTAAAGGGCTGTTGCTCTTATGGACTCATGACCAAATTGTCGAGGAAGAGGGATCCTGAATGCAAGGTACGGATGTTGGGGATGCAGAGGAGAAGGGAACCAAAATAGGAGTTACTAGTAAGTGCTCATCATCATAAAAAGCAGTAGATCACACTGTGGGATATTTTACTCCCTAGGAGACATTTGGTCATACCTGAGGAAGTTTCGGGTTGTCACAACTAAGAGGCTGTTATTGGCATCTAGTTGGTAGAGGCCAGGGATGTTGCTAAGTATCCTACAATGCACAGGACATCTCCCCACAACAAAGAATTATCCAGCCCAGGATAACAATAGTACTAAAATTGATGACTGATATAAGGTGATGCAAAGCACCTTACATGGATTATTTTATTAATAGTTGCAATGACTCTATGAGGTAGGAACAATAGAAAATCTCTTTAATAGACTTTCACTAACTCAACTTATTAATCAAATTAACGGATGTTCGCTGCCTCTTCCATAAAACATATGCAGTGATGTTTATGGTCACAAAATGTTCAAGGCTGGCCACTCTCTGGGATGCCTGTGCACTTCTGCTTCATCACTAGAACTGTACTTACCAAGTTGCTTTTAGTAATGGACCTTGTAATTTTTTATTATTGTAATTATGTATTTTAGTCACATATTACATAAATCAGAGTTTCCCAATTTTTTTTTTTTTTGAGACAGAGTCTTGCTCTCTTCCCCAGGCTGGAGTGCAATGGCATGATCTTGGCTCACTGCAGCCTCCACCTCCTGGGTTCAAGCGATTCTCCTGCCTCAGCCTCCCAAGTAGCTGGGCGTGCACCATCATGCCAGGCTAAGTTTTCTATTTTAGTAGAGATGAGGTTTCACTATGTTGGCCAGGCTGATCTGGAACTCCTGACCTCAGCTGATCCGCCCACTTCAGCCTCCCAAAGTGCTAGGATAATAGGCATAAGCCACCGCACCTGGCCCCAAGAGTTTCCCAATCTTGGCACTGACATAAATGAATGAAATGAGTGCAAAGATAAAGAGAGTTTTTCTATGATAGCATAGTCTCATGTGGCAGAGACTGGCTATGTCCTCACAAACCTGTCTCCTCTAATTGCTGGGCACAGAGTTGGACTACATTTCCCAGAACCCTTTGCATTGGATGGGACTATGTCTCTACTTTTCTTACCAAGGGACTGTGAGCAGAAGTGGTATGCTTCCACTTCTTATCTTCCAGGCTGAGGTAGTTAGTTAAGAGCGAGTGTGCCTTCATCGTCCTTCGCCTCTTTCTTTCCCCTTCTTCTCACTTGATGCATTCAAAAGCAGTAACCTTGGAAGCCACATATGGAAGATTGCAGAGCCAAAAATGAAGGGCCTACACATCCCTGAATCATGCTTGGAGGAGAGCCACTCATCAATTAGGAGCACCTGCTTTGGCCTCTATGTGAATAAGAAACTTCCATTGTTCTTGAATTGCTATACATTTCTGGGTTTGATTGTTAGAGTAAATAGTGTTTTCTTAAAAAAAAAAACACAACAGGGTTGAAAGTTTTGGAAATACTTGTAAAAGTGAGTCCCTCAAAATTCACAATTAAATTAGGTGTGGAGGCCAGGCGCAATGGCTCATGCCTGTAAACTCAGTACTTTGGGAGGCTGAGGCGGGCGGATCACCTGAGGTCAGGAGTTTTAGACCAGCCTGGCCAACATGGTGAAACCCTGTCTCTACTAAAAATACAAAAGAAAATTAACGGGGTGTGGTGGTGGCTGCCTGTAATCCCAGCTATTCGGGAGGCTGAGATAGAAGAACCTCTTGAACCCAGGAGTTGGAGGTTGCAGTGAGCTGAGACCGCGCTGCCGCATTCCAGCCTGGGTGACAGAGCGAGACTCCATCTCAAAAAAAAAAAAAAAAAAAAAAAAAGAAACAAACAAACAAAAAATTAGTTGTGGGAGAGACAATGGTAAAATATTGGGATATTGGGAACGAAGTCATAAGCATCTAAAAGAATTTTACTTTTCTATTTATTTTTAAGAGTCTTTAAGCTCTGGTTTCATTTTGAGGAAATCATTGACTATGCATTGCTGGCATGGCTTGTGGAAGGAAACCATCTTGGATTCTAATCAGCAAACCCAAAAGGCCCAGCCTTACATCAAAGGATTGACCTGTATTCATGTGCATTTAGCTATTTTAAGTTGAAACTCAAGGTTTAAAGTAAATATATATCATTTTTTATGATGTCTGGCTTTAACTAATTTTTTAAAATAAACTACTTACCACTAGTGTCGATCCCATTGAGTGAGAGAACTTCTAGAGCTCTGCCAATTTACAAAGGAGGAATCTGGGGTTCCAGAAGGTATGGTGACTTTCCCAAATCACATGGATAGCAGGTGGCCCAGCCAGCATTTACTCTAGGCTCCCACTTCCCCAATGTTACTCGTGGTGTCTTTTTTTCCTCTTGGGAACTCTGGGAATACTGAGCCAAAGGCCATGATCTCTGTATCTGATGGAGAAGCCAGTTCTGGCTTCCAGAGGCTTGTTACAAACAATGGGTAGCAAATGCTCCCAAGGAAGTTGCTCATTTGGCAAATGCTTTAGTTTTTAGGGGTACTTAACTGCATGAAAAATAGAGCCAAGGAGCACAGACCCTGGCTCTGTGTCAGTCCTGCTCAGAGATCCCAATGCAGGCTCCACCTCAATGCAACTGGTGTCTCCATCCCTGCGATGCTATAGCCACCAGTCTTCGGGAAATGCTCCCGATCTCAGGCTCCCTCTCACTGTCCCAGAACTTTCTTTATGGTTCACAAACACATTAAGCACATTATCTTGTTTAAGTCTCTCAACCACCCTGTAAGTTAGGCAGGGCAGATTTAACCTCATCTTATAGAACGTTGAAGCTGAGAGAGGTTTCATTATTTTCTGAAGTCCCATGGTTGCTATGTGGTAGGGTTAGAAAGGAAATATCAACACAGGTTTTTTATTTCCCAGTTCTGCCACACCAAGTGAACTTCAGCCACCACATCAAATCCTGTCACCCTACAACCCTGTGCGCCTTCAGCAGAGGCAGCTTGGAGCCCTAGTGAGAGAAGGCCTTTGGCAGCGGCCAGTCCTGTTTTGAGCCAGGGCTCTGACTCTTATCAGCCTGAGCTGTGGTTTCTTCATCTTTTACGTGGACGTGGGTAAACATATCAACTCATTCATGAATGGTGAAGACTGTGTACATATTTGGTGAAAGTCATGATTGCAGTGCCTGGCTCACAGTAAATGTTCCATCACTGCTTACCCCCCCCACCCATCTGCTCTCTACAGTTTGTGTTGTATCTGTACCCACCTAAGTGCTGATGTCTGTGCCTGCACCTGTACATTGCATTCTGCCCCTACAACTGACTAGATGCTGGGCTTCTTCTGCCTGGATGGAAGCTTCCCAAGAGCAGGGACCATGACTCCTTCATGAAAAATGCTGTGAGATGGCTTCTTTCCTTGACCAGGAGCCAGGAGATCTGGATTCCAATCTTGTGTTACTTTCTTCCTCTGAGCCTCAATTTCCCGTTTGTAAAGTGAGGGAGTTTGACTAGATGCTCTCTAAAGTCCTTTTGAATGATGATGATCCATGGTTTCTAGATCTCTCACATCAGACTGGAAGCTCCCTGAAGCCAGAGGAACAGTGGCTGCCTCACCCCCTGGATATTTCCACCCCAGAAAGGGCTCTGCGTATTCACAAGCCTTTAAGTGCACAGCACTGTGTGCCAAGCATGGTGCTACCATCTTGGGAGAGACACAAGGAACAGAAAACAGTTCTTCCCCCCAGGAGTCCTGCCTGCCACACTTATTGAGGAGACAATACAAACACAAATTAAAAAGCTGAAGATCCTAGCTCAAGCCCTGGGCATCTCTCCACTGGAGAAATACAAACAACCTCCTAACAGACCTTCTTGCTTCTCATATCCCTCCTTGCCAGTTCATTATCTCAACTATACAAAAGTCTAAGACTGATCAGCTCACCTGCCTCAAAGCCTTTCATGGCCCCCTGTGTCTTTCCAGTGACAATCTGAACTCATTAGCATGATACCAAACCCTCTGCTATCAGGTCTCTGCCTTCCCGGCAGGGTTCCAATCATGATCACTTTTCAATGGCAACCTGGACTCTGGACATTTGGCACCACCTCCCCTCATCCCATTCCTCACCTCTACCCCAGTAAGCCCGGCCAAACTTTGCAACCACCATGACTCACTTGATTAGCTTAGGTACAATCTGATGACATCTCTTTTACTTCTCTCATTTCAACATTTGAGCCTGAGGTGCCCTTATCAGCAAGAATTTCAGGATCTTTCTGGTAAGGCCTCTCATCTCCCTCTACTCTCTGGTACACAATTGCCCAACAACTTGGGGGTTTGCGTAATCCAAAGAGATTAGTGTGTGAAGGAAGGGAAAATATAGGAAAGAACAGAGCCCTGCCGAATAAAGTGGGGCAGGTTTCCTGGAGAAAGAGACTTTCATCAGGATTTAGACACATATGAGAACTTGGGCAGGTAGTTTGTGTTGGCAACGGGGATGGGCAGACCCCTGAATATAGGAGCAATACCCAAGAGGTGAAAAGAAGCAGCATCCCTGGGTCAGACTACAGTGACCTCAAGTTGATAAATTCCAGTCTGGTAAGACTCTCAGGAAATGGGTGAACTCATTCAGTGCTGATAATGTTTCAGATTGGTATAGTCCTAGAGAGCCATAAACATAGTCTTGCTTTTGACAAGTAATCTTGCTCATGAAAATTTATGCTAAGGAAATAATTCAATTGAACACCAAAAACTCTGAACAACAATATTCATAGAGGCATTCTTTAAACTAGGGAAAATTTGGAAGCAGTCTGAAATTCAACAGTAGGAGTTGATTAAATGTAATATGAAGTGGCCATATAATGAAGTGTTGGGAAGACATTAAAAATTATACTTAAAGCCAGGTGCAGTGGCTCACACCTGTAATCCCAGCACTTTGGGAGGCCGAGGTGGGCGGATCACTCGAGGCTAGGGGTTCGAGTCCAGCCTGGTCAACATGGTGAAACCCCATCTCTATTAAAAATACAAAATTAGCCAGGCGTGGTGGTATGTGCCTGTAATCCCAGCTACTTGGGATGCTGAGGCAGATGAATCACTTGAACCCAGGAGGCGGAGGCTTCAGTGAGCTGAGATTGTGCCACTGCACTCTAGCTTGGACAGCAGAACAAGACTCTGTCTCAAAAAAAAAATTAAAAATGATACTTAAGATTTGTATTATTCAAAAACAATTCAGCAAATATTGATGGAGATGTTCATGGGGTTAGTTTCTTCCAAGGCCACTGTCCTTGGCTTGCAGATGACTGTCTCTTTCCTGTGTCTTCATGTGATCTTCCCTCTGTGTCCGTTTCCTGGTCTCCTTTTCTTCTAAGGACACCAGTAATATTGGATTGGGCCTGCCGTAATGACTTCATTTTAACTTAATCCCCTCTTTAAAGGCCCTGTCTCCAAATAGAGTCACATTCTGAGGTACTGTCAGTTGGGACTTCAACATATGAATTTGAAGGAACATAGCTCAGTCTCTAACAAGATTTTCTGTCTGGGACTGTGCTGTGGGTTTGTGGGACTAAGACATAAAGGACCCAACCACTGGTGGCCAACATCTGCAGACAAGGAAAAGGCTGTCTTTGATGGAAGGATGGAACTCTGACAGGGAAAGGCAGTGGTCTGCAGCAGTGTTTGCAGGGGACAATTAGGGAAAAGGTGGGAAGCAGGACACAGATCCCATTTGGTGGATATGGAGTGGTACTTGGATGGTGTACACACAGTACTCAAGGGCTATAATCAGGAAGTGCCTTATTTTGTCTCTCACTTTCCTTTAAAGTTTATTTACCTTGGAAAATTTCCTCCTCTGCTCCTGTATTAAAAAAATCACACAGTCTTCTGACTTTCTTTTTTTTTTTTTTTTTTTTGGGACGGAGTCTCGCTCTGTCACCCAGGCTGGAGTGCAATGGCAGCGATTCTCTTGCCTCAGCCTCCCAAGTAGCTGGAATTACCGGCATGCACCACCAAGCCTGGCTAATTTTTGTATTTTTAGTAGAGATGGGGTTTTGTCATGTTGGCTAGGCTGGTCTCAAACTCCTGACCTCAGGTGGTCCACCCACCTTGGCCTCCCAAAGTGTTGGGATTACAGGCATGAGCCACCGCACCCAGCCAGTCTTCTGACTTTGTATTCACTCTTAGGTAAGTCTTTCGGGTCATGTTAAGTTGTCAAACTCTGCCCCAATTTAGAAATTAAAATGTCAAGCCCCGTGTAATAATAAAAGTTTCCAACTTAAGCTATAGCCTTTTGTGTGGTTGGGGCTGCCAAGGTGGGCTGTTGGGGCTGCCAAGGTGGGCTGTCTGGGCAGGGGCCGGGCGATGGGCTTCTTCTCTCTTTGTGCTAACCTCCTCCCTCTACTCATTCTCCCTGTCTCTGCCTCTGTTTCTTGTCCCTATGGGATTGGGGTTGAAGGAGGGAAAAAAGATAGACTCTTCTTGTACACATATTATCTCTGTGGCTAGAACAGGATTCTCCAGCTCTTGGCTGGGGAGTGGTAACACTCCCTGGGCTGTGAGGGATAGAATGGCTTTGAACAGGCTTGTCAGTGGTGGACCAGTTGGCCAAGAGCCGAGAGACAAGGGAGTCATCACCCAAGACCTCCCGGCTGCCAAGGAGGTGACACAGCCTGCTCTGTGTTTTCTCAAATGGCCATCTTAACTTCAGCATGCTCCTAATCATGAATCATCTTGTGACTGCAGCTAGTTCTTACAAGAACCTTTCAAGGAAAGAAGTAAGCCAACTCCAACAGAAACTGCAATGAAAATTGATTGCGATTCTGGGTCCACATTTAATTTTACATTCTCCATGGAAGCTCTAGGAGACGTCAGAAGTGGTAATCCTCATGAAAGAGAAACAAGGTCAGCCTTTGTCTGACATCTCACAGTGGTTAGGCACCGGGGCCTGAATCTGCAGAACTTTGACCTGAGAGATGCTGAATTACTCACTTGAATGAGACTTTGTGGGGTTAAGAACAGGCTTTGGTGCCACAGACTTTAATTCTGATCCCATCTCTATATTAATTTGCTCTGTGTCTTTGAACAAGCCACCTAGCCTCTCTGGGCCTTAGTTTTATTTTATCTAGCAGATAATAAGTTTTCACTCATGAGGTTGTCATAAGGATTGCAACACACAAAATATACAAAAACATCTACCCAGTACCTGGTGCATGAAAGGTCTTAAATTAATTTTATATGCTTCCCCTATTAATGCTGAAATACAGTCTATTTCTTGGTCTGAATTAAGACCACAGTCATCTGAGATGTGGCTGGGTTAATTCCCCAGCAGTCCAGACCATGTTTAGATTTCTAGGACCTGAGGGTAACCCAAGTAACACTATGGGGAAGGATGCAGTTAGGGTTGTTTAGGCAGAGATGCTGCTCAAAGAATTTCTATTTCTCTTCTGGAACCTCCAGCTGCTCCTAGTGCCCTGAGCCGACTCAGCCCTGGATACCAGAAGGCTAACCCTCTAAATAAATGGAGTCCTGGTGGCCATTGGCTGTGTCCTTGGAGTTTTAGTCCTGGTGACCTTACCAGGAAAGGTACATTGCCCATCTTCCTCCATCCGCTACCAGCCCAGTGGTCAGTTTCCCACTGGGCTTATCGCTGTTTCTCATGCTGGGCCCTAATAAGTGGGGATGAATGCATTCTCTACTTTTCCTGTTTCCATGAGAAACAACTTAGCTAGAGTAACGTTCCTGGTTTCTCACCCCAGCCCTCTCTCACTCCACCGGAAGAGCAAGGGAGTGATTTACCTGATTAGTGATCTTAAAGATGAAGCTGGGCCGGGTGCAATGGCTCATGCCTGTAATCCCAGCACTTTAGGAGGGTGCAATGGCTCATGCCTGTAATCCCAGCACTTTAGGAGGCCAAGGGGGACGGATCATCTGAGGTCAGGAGTTTGAGACCAGCCTGGCTAACATGGTAAAACCCCGTCTCTACTAAAAATACAAAAATTAGCCAGGTGTAGTGGTGCACTCCTGTAATCCCAGCTACTTGGGAGGCTGAGACTGGAGAATCACTTGAACCCAAGAGGCAGAGGTTGCAGTGACCAGAGATCATGCCACTGCACTCCAGCCTGGGCAACAGAGTGAGACTCTGCCTCAAAAAAAAAAAAAAAAAGAAAGAAAGAAAAAAGAAAAAAGAAGGAGCTGCATGTATGTGGTGAGCCCCTCTGAAATTCCATCTTGCAATCTACTAGGTTGGTGCAAAAGTAATTGCAGTTTTTTACATTAAAAGTAATGGCAGAGCCAGGTGCGGTGGCTCATGCCTGTAATCCCAGCACTTTGGGAGGCCGAGGTGGGCAGATCACTTGAGGTCAGGAGTTCAAGACCAGCCTGGCCAACATGGTGAGACCCCATCTCTACTAAAAATACAAAAAAAATTGGCCAGGCATGGTGGTGCATGCCCGCAGTCCCAGCTACTTGGGAGGCTGAGGCAGAAGAACTGCTTAAACTCGGGAGGTGGAGGTTGCAGTGAGCTGAGATTGAGCCACTGCACTCCAGCCTGGGTGACAGAATGAGACTCTGTCTCAAAAAAAAAAAAAAAATGGCAAAAACCGCAATTATTTTTGCATCAACCTAATATACCCTGAACTGCTCCCTCTACCATGAGGTGAGCTGAGCAGAGCGTGTTCTGGTTCTTTGGAACAGGCTTCTGTTTAAGGGGGAAGTGGGTCAAAGTATAATTTTCAAAGAATTTTAAAACGTGGCTTCCATACAAATATAGAATGGACATGTGTCAAAGATCCATTTAACTCGTTAACAAGGGAACCAGCAGTATGTTAAAGACGGTTCTTAAGAGCATTTGATGGACAGAGATTTATATAGTTAGTTGGGAAAAGAATGCATAAATAAGTTTATTAAATTAGATGCAAAATCAGTTAATATCCTACAGTGCAACAAAACTGTAGCCTTCGCAATTATTCTTCTACCAAAGAGCAAAAATTTTCATCTTTACTAGACAAAAATATACAAATTAACATGTAATGTTAATAAGTGTTAATGAATCCAGGCTCTAATATATAGTCAATATGAAGGCAAGCAAAGACTCGTTTCTTATAGTGAATGAAATAAATTTTGGTGGGCCTGTTAGACACATCACAGTAGAACATCAAGAGGACAAGCAGTCATCTTTTTGCATTACTTCCAGCTTTTGACAATTTCAAGTAATGCTCAGCAAAGGATAAATTCAGTAGTTGGGGAGGAAACATCAGTAAGCACACGTAAACATTTTGTTGAAGTAGTTTTTTTGGGGGAGCAAGCAGGGCAGGGATGGTAGCTCACGCCTGTAATCTCAGCACTTTGGGAGTCCAAGACAGAAGGAGAGCTTGAGCCCAAGAGTTGGAGACCGGCCTGGCAACATAGACCCCGTCGCTGCAAAAATAAAAAAATTAACTGAGAGTTGTGGTGCACGCCTGTAAGTCCTAGCTACTTGGGAGGCTGAGATGGATGGATTGCCTGTGGCCAGGAGTTCAAGGCTGCAGTGAACTATGATTGTGCCACTGCACTCTAGGCTGGGTGACAGAGTGAGACCTTGTGTTTAAAAACAATAAAAATAGGCCAGGCATGGTGGCTCATGCCTGTAATCCCAGCACTTTGGGAGGCCGAGGCGGTGGATCATGAGGTCAGGAGTTTGAGACCGAGGTCAATATGGTGAAACCCCGTCTCTACTAAAAATACAAAAATTAGCCATGCGTGGTGGCGCGCGCCTGTAGTCCCAGCTACTCAGGAGGCTAAGGCAGAAGAATCGCTTGAACCTGGGAGGCGGAGGTTGCAGCGAGCTGAGATCACACCACTGCACTCCAGCCTGGGTGACAGAGCGAGACTCTGTCTCAAAACAAAACAAAACAAAAACAAACAAACAAAAAACAATAAAAATAAATAAGTACAATAGTTTGGGGTTTTTAATTTTTCTATCTCCGTCTTTGTAATTCTTTGGTCTAACTCTCCTTTTGTTTCTTCTCCCCCCTTGGGTAGAGAATAGAGGAGTGTTATCTGTTGAGCCTCCCAAACCGCAGTGGGCATCATCTTCCCTGGCAGGGCTGCCTGTGAACAGTCATGTGTCCCTGTCTCCCTGGGCTAGCTCTGGGCGGGTGGTGGCCCAGATTTTCTTGCCTCCTCACTCTGCCAGTCTTGGAGGCAACATCAATTCAACTTTCAGGCTATGAAAGCACACAAGGAAACAGACTTAGTCATTTTCTGCTATAAATTTGCAGAGATGCCAGTTTAGTAAACAAAATAAATATATCTTCTCAGTGTATTTGCCTATTATGAATATGTATGAGCTCTTAGAACTTTGGGAGGAGGCAGATTTCTGGGGACAGCTTCTGGATTTAGAGCCCCCTAGGTGGAGAATGGCAAAGGGCTTGCATGCTCTATTTCTCAGCCCCCCACTCCTCACCTCTAAACTGGGCTTCTGAAGAGGGTGAGGAGGAAATCAGATTGGATGAATAGCTATACTTATAAAATCAGTCACTAACACCTACTGAATGCCTATTATGTGACAGCCATAGAGGAGCCGATGCTACAAAAATGACCAAGATGTATAGTCTTGGGCCACCACCAGGGCATGGTCTCCTAGATGAGAAACCTATAAACAAGCAAATTACAAAGTGATACACATGTGTATCACACACGTGTAATAATACAAGGTGTACATGTGTACATGATACAATGATGTATCACACACAATGTGATATCACAAATATAATGTGATAAATATAGCAACGGAAGCCTGTGTGTGGTATAGGGTTTGTTTAAAACACAGATTGGGGTAGGGAAAAATACAAACTGCAAGCAGACACACCTAGGGTCAAATTTCAACTCTACCACTTAGTTGAATACTTTAGATCACTTATTTATAAAATGGGGTCATTCCTTCCTTACTGTTCTTGAGAGTATTTGCAATAATGTACGTAGAGCACTAAATATAGTAACCAGCACCTAGTTGGCACTCAATAAATTATAGCTATTAATGAGAGGCATTGATCATTTCTTTTTTATTTAGGTACAATAAAAAGTTCACGATAGAATTGCCCTTTGCAATGTCCAAGGCACTTTCAGTCCATTATCTCAACACTGGGAAGGAGGTATTTTTGGCCTCTTTTCACAGATCAGGAATCCTGGGCTTAGAGTGGTCAGGAGCCCTGGCCAAGGCCACAAGCTAATGCAGAAATGCTGAGAAAGTATCATTTTTGGGTGAGACAGAGAGCTAGTGAACCCATATCAGCTAGAAGGACAGGAACTGTTCTGCCTTACCTGCATTTTTAGGCCCAAGTGCTGAGAAGCAGGACGAGCAGGAGGAAAGGAATCAGTGCGGCCTTTGCTAACACAGGGATGGCCAAAAGATGGTGGAAGTCACAGAGCCCACTTGGGTGAACAAAATCAGATGATGAAAACAAATGGGGACCCCTGTCTTTTCTTAAAAAATAAATAAAAATAACAAAAGAACTTTACACAAGAGGGGCCAAGACTAGGTACATGTCACAAATTTTGGAACCTTTGTCATTTCCCCTTGCTTGATAATTTAATCTCCCATCCATTCCCCTGAGTAATGAGCAGTGAACTCCTGATGAGGGGAACCACCTATCTACATGTTTTTGGGGGCAGTAAGAAAGTAGGAAATGGTAAAAGAGCATCCTACTGCGTGGGGGCAGCAGGGAAACAGGAACTGGGGGGACAGCACCCTACTGCATGGGAGCAGCAAGGAAACAGGAAATGGGGACAGCATCCTACTGCATGGGGGCGCAGGGAAACAGGAACTGGGGGCACAGCATCCTACTGCATGGGGGCAGCAAGGAAACAGGAACTGGGGGCACAGCATCCTACTGCATGGGGGCAGCAAGGAAACAGGAACTGGGGGCACAGCATCCTACTGCATGGGGGCAGCAGGGAAACATGAACTGGGGGACAGCATCCTACTGCATGGGGGCAGCAAGGAAACAGGAAATGGGTACAGCATCCTACTGCATGGGGGCAGCAGGGAAATGGGAACTGGGCAGACAGCATCCTACTGCATGGGGGCAGCAGGGAAACAGGAACTGGGGGGGACAGCATCCTACTGCATGGGGGCAGCAGGGAAACGAGAACTGGGGGGACAGCATCCTACTGCACAGAAAGAGGAGAACCCCAGGGGATGTGTGGGTGGTGGCAGCTTTTCAGAGAACAAGCAGTTCTCTGAGTTTCGGCACATTCCTGAGGCTAGAAAGGAGACCTGAGAAGAACAGAGGAACCAGTGGGGCCAAAAAGAGGACTTGGGGTTCCACGGTAGAACAGCCAACTGAACATAGAGACAGACTGAAAACCCAGGCCTTCGGATTCCAGACTCTTGTCTCCACTGCATACATTCCCATACAAATTCACCTACACAAACTCTGTGTGCTGGAGGGGATCAGAGGCAGATCACTGAGAGGGTTCATAGATATTGAGAAGGATTGGGTAGTTGGATATTGGCTGCATCTGCTGCTGGGCTGAGAGAGGAAGAAAGCTCAGGAAGATTGCCTAGAGCTTGCCCAGCTCTGAGCCCTGGGCTCACGGTGGTGGCGGTGGGGTGGCGTATCCAGAAGCCCTCTCAAGTTGCAAGAAAGAATAGCCATGTGGGAGTGGTATGGGTGTTGGTCCCAGCCCTGCCATTGACCACTCTATGCTGCTCATTTACACAACTTCCCGGGCCTCAGTGTCTTCATCTGTAAAATGGAGACACAAAATTCCAACCATAACCATTTTATAGTATTCTCAACAAGAACCAACTAAGGCAACAGATGGAGAAGAGCATTGGAAATTGTATAAGCTCTGAAGTGCTAGGAGAGAATTTTGTGTGTTGTTTATTTTAATTAATTTTTTAAAAAATCATGGTCTGACCCACTAGGCCATTTATTGCTGACTTGGAGCTCTCTGATCCTGGGTGCTCTGAGCTTATTTCCCCACGTAGACTGCATGCTGACAGAGAAGGCTGAGGTGCTCAAATCATACTTCTCCATATTTCTGTCATTACTGTCCCACCCTACATGCCCCTCTCACCAGCAGGGCGGCTCTGCCACAGAATTTGATGAGTGGCTGATTGATAGCTTGGCCATGTGTTCGTGGGGATATTCAATTTTTCTTCCAGCATTTAGTCACTGCCTTCCCATCTGTTTGGGTATTGGGGTGGGGGTGGGGTGGGGGGGTGAGCAGCCAGTTTCTCTGCCATCCAGTGTTGGAACAGAATGGCACATGCTTCATTTGCAACAACATGGATTTAGGCTAGACTTTTTTTTTTTTTTTTTTTTAATAGGGTCTCCCTTGTCACCCAGGCTGGAGTGCCATGGCATGATCTCAGCTCACGGCAGCCACGACCTCCCGGGTTCAAGAAATCCTCCTGCCTCAGCCCCCACAAGTAGCTGGGATTACAGGCATGCACCACCATGCCTGGCTAATTTTTGTATTTTTTGTAGGGCTTTCGCCACATTATCCAGGCTGGTCTCCAGTTCCTGGGCTCAAGTGATCCGCCCGCCTCGGCCTCCCAAAGTGCTGGGGTTACAGGTCTGGCCACTGCGCGCAGCCTAGACTAGACTTTAGATAGCTTAGATTAGCTAGAAGGCCTGAGGAATGAAAAAGAAAAGAACTGTGAACTTTTGAAGTTTCCTGGCTAAGTTTTTTTGGTCTTTTATTTTCCAAAGTATTTTAGAGTAAGTTACAGGTATGATTTTTCATTCCTAGATACTTCAGTTTGTATCTTTGAAAAATTAGGGGTTTTTTTTTAGGCTAGTTAAGTAAAGTTAGGGCATTTTGTGTGTGTGTGTGTGTGGTGTATGTGTGTGTAGTGTATGTGGTATGGAGTGTATGTGAATGTACGTAAGAGGGTGTGTGTGTGGGAGTGTGTGTGCCGTGCGTGTGCTGTATAAGCTAATGTGAGTGTGTGGTGTGTGAGCTAATGTAGTGTGTGGTGTGTGAGCTTATGTGAGTGTGTGTGGTGTGTGAGCTAATGTGAGTGTGTGTGGTGTGTGAGCTAATGTAGTGTGTGGTGTGTGAGCTTATGTGAGTGTGTGTGCTGTGTAAGCTAATGTGAGTGTATGTGGTGTGTGAGCTAATGTGAGTGTGTGTGGTGTGTGAGCTAATGTGAGTGTGTCTAGGTGGGTATGTGAGTGTAGGAGTGGTGTGTGAGTGTGTGAGTGTGTGGTGTGTGAGCTTATGTGAGTGTGTGTAGGTGTGGTATGTGAGTGTAGGAGTGGTGTGTGAGAGTGTGTGGGGGGGGAGTTTGGTGTGTGAGTTTATGTGAGTGTGTCTAGGTGGGTATGTGAGTGTAGGAGTGGTGTGCAAGTGTGTGTGAGAGTGTGTGTGTTGTGTGAGCTTATGTGAGTGTCTGTAGGTGTGGTATGTGAGTGGAGGAGTGGTGTGTGAGTGTGTGTGTGTGTGTGTGTGTGTGAGAGAGAGAGAGTGCACGTTTGTGTCAAGTGCACACAGCTCTTTGAGGGGGGGTTTGGCTGCTGCTCTTCTCAGAGGCAGGGGAGTGGGCCAAGGAAGGCCTGGTTCATCCCTCCCAGCTCAGCGAAGCCCTCAGGGAGGGGAGGTGCCCCACACTGGGGCAGGGAGCAGCTGGGGAAAGTTGACTCAAGACAAAGTTCCCGGCTTCTCTTCCCTGGCGCTGCCTTTCCCTCAGGCCCTTTAGTATCCTTTGCCAGGGACTCCATAATCTCTTACTGGGAAACCGGGACAGAATCGAGTGCTGAGTGTGGTACCCAAACTGCAAATCAATGAAGTCTGAATTAAATATTGATTTCCTCCCTTTTCTTTCAGGGAAGTTTCTTGAGAGGAATTGGCTTGCTGGTTTTGTTTTTTGCTTTTTTAATTTTTCATCCTGATCCTTAAACACTACTTATGAAAGACTAATCGTGCAAGGTATAGCCTAGTCCTCTCTTACCCGCCTCCCTCTTTGACTCTGGTAGCTTTCCTCTCCAAAGATGAAATGTCAGCCATTGGGGGAAGTGGCTCATAAGAACATGACTGTCTGCCATCAGCCCACAAGGCCGTGGCTGGGCAAAGGGCAGTCCCACCCCCAGATGCCCCTTGGCTTGGACATTTAGCTCCAGATGGGAGGTCAAGACTTCATCCCAGGCCAAGTAAGCGATGCCAACTAAAGGCTCCCATCTTTAGCATGTCCTGCAAGCTTGCCAGGACTGGGGTAAGGTACTTAGGATGTCCTGGGCCGTAAAAAGACACTGGTGCTTTCCTCACTGCCCCCACATCCCCATAACATAAAGTTAAACCAGAGATAAATTAGAGTAAGGAACACCAAGAATTCTGTTTCTTCCCATAATGATGACCAGGATATCAAACAGTAAGTCACTGACAGGTTTTGGTTTGTTTGTTTGCTTTAGGGACAGGGTCTCACTTTGTCGCCCAGGCTGGAGTACAAGTGATATGACCTTGGCTCACTGCAGCCTCCACCTCCTCGGTTCAAGTGATCCTCCCACCTCAGCCTCCCAGAGTGCTGGAATTACAAGTGTGGGCCAGTGTACCTGGCCTGTGTGGGCCCATTTCTGAGGGAAGTTAGAATCTCACGCCCTGGGCCTGGTGGTCTGTGGTCTAGAAGGCTTCCCCAGCCTCCCTGGAGAACCTGCCAGTGGCAGGTTCTAGGCAGCATTTGAACCCCTCACCCCCATCCCCAAGCCCCATTCTCTTTCCTCTTGTGTGCCAGCAGCTTCCTGGGCCTCCTGCACTTTCAGCCAGCAACTGGCTATGACAGCAGAAAAAGAAAACAGCCAGGTCTCTATTCCCAGAGGACCAGTCTGTAGGGGAGGCTGTTCCGGGATGAGCTTGTTAGCAGAGAAATTTAATTTACTGCCCTCCCACCAGGCTGAAGGTTCTGTGCCTCCATAGAGTCTCCCTCCTGAGCACCCCAGGTTCTTTATGAGAAGTCCTATTGGTCTCAAGGTGAAGGTGTGGAGAATGGAAAATCTCAGGCTGGCTCAAGAGATTGCAGAGTTATCCCCAGGAGAAGATCCCAGGGCTCCAGCTTCGGTGCATCCTCCCACTCTGCCTTATTCGGCTTTGCTGGAAATTCCTCAGTCTCGGTCTCTGGAATGGGTCAAATCTGGGCTTGAATGACAGACAGCATTCATTCACAAACACCTGTTGAGGCCTATTGTGTGCCAGGAGTGCTAAGGTAAAGGAATACTGGGATAAAAACACAGCCTATAATCTGAAAGGCATCTCCCTGGGGAGACAGGCACATACGCAATGACACTATAGTGGGACAAGTGCTGCAATAGGTCTACCCACTAAAGCATGTAAGAGGGACACCTACGGCATGCATGTGGTGAGGCAGGGGTGCAGGGGGCAGGGCTGATTCTGAGCTGATCCTTATGAATGGGTTAGCCAAGTCCAAAAAAGGGTGGGGGATAGGGAAGGGTGTCTCCAGAAGAGGAAACAGCCTGGAGCAAACAGAGGGAGGCATTTAGGAGCCCCCGTGTTGTCTGCAATGGGGTGTCCAGTGCTGTGAGAGACGATAGGGTGTGCATACAGGCCTTGGCATCAAATTGCAGAGGCAGGCTGCCCAAGTGTGCTTTGGGTTCTGTGATGCTGGGAAGTCTATACAATGGGAACAAATAGGACCAGCTTCATGGGGATTTGGGGAGGTAATGAGCAAATGAGATGATCTTTATGAAGTACTTAGCACAGTGTCTAGCTAGGGGTTAGCAGTCTATATATTGCTGTTAGCAGTTCATATCATTACTGATGAATTGTATGATCTTGCAAAAGTTATTTTATAGCTCCCATCCTCAGTTTTCTCATCTGTAAAATGGCGTATTTGTTTGTTTGTTTTTCACAATCTATTCAGTTGTGAACAGATCAAGGGACTGCCTTACTGACTTTAACTTCCCATCTCCTAAGGCAGTGCCCAGTATACAAAGATCAGTCTCTTTTCCTTCCCTTTCCTTTCATTCTTCCAGCCCACTTAGGGCCTAACTGCTCAAAAGAGTGGCTATTTGTTCTCCTTTCAGTTCCGGGGACATTTTGCTCTATACTCAACTTCCAAAAATAGATCTGACTCCAAGTTCCGCACTCTTTCCACTAAACTCCAGTTGCCACAACAAATTTTTAGTCTAACAATGATGTATCGATTTTTGCCTAAAAAATTAGCAATGCATTTTTTTACAAGCCAGTGGTGGTAAGTTTACAGAGAAACAGGCAAGTTTATACATTGCTAATATAATGCTTCAGGTGCAATACATAAACCACTAAAATCCTTTAGGATAGCTAACTGATAATATGCATCAAAAACCTAAACATGTTCAGGTTATTTTTTTCTCAGTAATTCTTGATTCTGACAATCCCAAGGGAATAATCCTAACCACACAAAGAAACTGGTTGCACAAATATATTTGTTGCCACATTACTGATAATAAGGAAAAATCAGAAACAATCTGTGTAATCAATCCTAAGAGAACAGTTAACTAAATCATGATAGAGCCACTTCCTCAAATTTATGAGGTACCCAGAGTAGTCAAATTCACAGAGGCAGGAGGTAGAATGGCGGTTGCTTGGGCCTAGGGGAGAAGAGCGCAGGAAGTTGTTTTTGTTTGTTTGTTTGTTTTTTGAGACGGAGTCTGTCTCTGTTGCCCAGGCTGGAGTGCAGTGGCGTGATCTCAACTCACTGCAACCCCCGCCTCCCAGGTTCAAGCGATTCTCCTGCCTCAGCCTCTTGAGTAGCTGGGACTACAGGCGCCCGCCATCACATTCGGCTAATTTGTTTGTATTTTTAGTAGAGACGGGGTTTCACTGTGTTAGCCAGGATGGTCTCGATCTCCTGACCTCGTGATCTGCCTACTTCGGCCTCCCAAAGTGCTGGGATTACAGGCGTGAGCCACCGCGCCCGGCCTTGCATGGCCATTTCTAATGAATACCTTAATATCGTCCTCATAAAACTCCTCCTCTGGAGACAAACGAACTCCTCCTCTGAAAGGCGGTGGCTGAGTAGACCAGCTCACTTAGTTTTAGGCTTTTTAGAGTAGATCAGACACATGGAAGGGCTAGGCAAGGATGTCACCAGAAAAAGCACTCTAGAGGGCCTCTGGGTTGGTGTCATGTTCCCACAGCCATGAGGACGGCCTGGTCCGTATTCAAGACCTAGACAAAGTGGAGAAGAAGGAACAAGAGGTGCTCTGCCACAGACCCAGGACGCTTCCACGCTTGCCAGTGCTTGTTAGAAACGCATTTTGAAACATTCTCAGACTCTGGGATGGGGGTTTACATACGAAGGGGAACAGGATAGTGCTAAATATCATAATTGGCAGGGTCTGGGAGTGAGGGCATGAGGAGGACCTTGGGGCACCTAGTGCACCAGCAGTCAATATTGTTTATTGAGTGTCTACTACGTGCCAGCCGTGGAGGTATAGAAGCCGCATAGAAAGGGATGAAGTGCACAGACAGTAAAGTTGGGCCACCTGGTTCAAGTCCTGGATCTACCACTTAAGGTTTCATCACATTGGGTACGTTACTTAACCAACTCTGCGACTCAGTTTCCTCATCTGCAAAGTGAGGATAACATCTACCTTGTTGGCTATTATGAGGATTCAGTGAGTTGATAGCAGCAAAATGCTTTAAGCAATGCCTGGCACATGGTAAGCATGATGTACATTTCTATTAAATGAGATTCAATAAATTACCAGCCCCATGCTGCTCAGGAAGTGAGACACTCTCAAAACCTGAACTCCAAACCCCAGACTCAGGCTCAGCAGTTGTCCGCTCGTCTCCATGCACAGAGTTCCTCACGCCTCTCTCTTTCCCTACCCACCTTCCTAATATTCCCTTTGTCTCCTCCCATCCAGGCAGGGAGCTTTTATTCAGGTCGGTGAAAGGAGTGGGCGTGGGGGCCGCGGAGCTCCAGAGGCTGGGGGCAGGGTGAAGCCAGGCCGGCTGCTCTGGCTGGCCGCCGTGCCTCCTGCCGGGCTCCAGGAGGGCATGCCAAGAGCAGAGGGATGCAGATTGGGCTGGAGGCAGATTAATATAATCACTGTATTACCAGCCCCACTCACTCCCCTACTCTTTTCCCTAATGGTGATTATTATACTTATTAGAGGCTCAGCTGCCAATGGTTATTGATGCTCCCTGCTGCAGCATTTTAATCAGGGCTGGAAGCTATTGTTGGAAACACCAGCCTCCAGGGCCCCAGGACAGGTGCAGAGTGGGGCATCGGGACCTTTTCAGCCAGGCAGGTGAGGTCCCCAGGGCTCCAGAGTCATAGAGAGAACTCAACCCACAAACACCCTGCCTCTGTCTGGTGGCAGGGAAGGGGGGATGGAGAGGGGAATGGCACCACCCTGGGCTTCCCTCCACGGAGGCCAGCTGGCGGTTTTTTCCAGCTGGGGCATAGCTGGGGCTGCCTCTGCTGGGTACACCACCAATTCTCCTCCTCACACCAGGGAGGATTCCCTTTTCTGCCCCCTCCACCATCACCCAGCGTCCTCCCCACTCCCCTGTGCCTGCTGGTGCTGAGGGGCGAACTGAATCTGTTTGGGTGTCTGTGGAACAGGTAAGGAGTGGTGATGGTGGGTGGGAAGCGCCTAGCTGGGCTGTGGCCACAACATGCTGGTCATTTATCTGGGGCTGGGGTGAGGGTGAGAGAGAATTCATGCTTGTTGAACCCACACTAGGTTTCAGGCATGTGTCAGGAGCTTCGCCCATGTTATCTCCTTTATCACATCAGCCTTTCCAATGCCGCACTTTCCAGCACACTTGACAGAGGAAACAGAAACTCAGAGAATCAGAGTGGCGTGCCCAAGGTCACTCAGCTAGGATGGGGCAGGGCTGGGATTGGAGCCAGGGCATACACTCTTATAGATGAGAAAAACCCCATGGCAGATCACTGGTGGCAGAATCTTCCAGATCTATGCAGATATCAGTCCTGCATGGTCCAACTCTGTTCTCTGTAGGCTCTAACCACCCTGATTAAGCGTAGAGTCATCCCACATGTAATCACCAGAGAACTAAGCCTGCCCTGTGTGAGAGCCACCTGCCTGGGCTCTGGAGTCAGTGATGGCTCTGGACTGGGGGGATATCCTGTGGCCCAAGCTGTGACTCCCGGTGTGCCCACTAGGCACCCTCCTGCATTAGCGTGCTGAGGGTAAGACCACCCTGGCTGGTGGAAGCCTTTGTCTGTTACCGCCTCAGGGTTACTGGGGGCGGGTTAGGGGGGTGGTTTCTGAGGCTGACTGAGGCGTGGCACCCTCCCACTGCCCAGGATGTGATTATGTCTTGAGTTCATACAAGTTCATGGCACATAAAGCCCTGACAGCAAATGCAGAGGGGAGGAGGGCCAATAAAAGCCAAGTGAAAATGTAATAAATCAAAAATATTAACTATTTCATACACCCACAAATGGTCTTGTAATGTGAGCATTTTTCAGTTCTACTGAAAATATGATGTGGATTAGGTGTTAACAGTTAAAAATGATCACAGGCCTTTGTGGTGGACACTGGTGAGTTCTGGGTCTAGATGAGGGCCCACCTGTCTGCTCCAAAGTGTCCATGACAGGCGATGTCCCAGACACATTGTTGCTGAATGTCTGTACTGAAACATCTCTTAGAAGTCCTGTAGCTGGTGCTGTTTTGACATCTGGGCCCCTCTACTTTCCAAGAGAAGACAGGATGGAGGAGGCAGACATGAGTGCCTCCTAGGCACCCTGCACACCAGAACGCCCCAGGAAAAGGGCTTTCTTTCCTCCTCAGGGTGCACCAAGAACTTCTCTGCTCTCCTCCGTCTGCCTGGCTTCTCTCCTTCCCTTTGTTTCTGTCTGAGTCGCCTTAGGGACTAACGCAATGGTGGACAATGATGTCATCTCTGAGATCACTTTGGCAGACTGGCTCCTGGGCCTCTGATAGAATTGCCCACTTCCCCTGTCTCTCCTGTGGGGCATGGCTGGCCAGCCACAGTCTTGGTCCAGTCTTCCCTGCAGTGTCCCACCCCGAAGGCTGAGTCTCTTTGGCATTAGAGCCAGCCCTTCAAAAAACAAAGCAAAACTGTTTTGTACCTTTTCCTCTGTCCCCTCCCCACCATGCACCAGCTCCTCTGGGATCTTTCAGAGGACAGCAGATGCACCTGGGCCCAGCTCCTCACCCAAAGGGCCTCTGGTGTTGAATGGCCCTCAGCCCAGGCATTTCTGACCCCACTCCCCACCCTGTGTGTTGCTCCCAGCCACCCCGGGCCTGACCAGCTCAGCCATTTCATCCTTTGTCTACTGACTGGCATCATTCCCATGGCTGCACCCCCAGTTGTGGACACCCAACCCTGCTCACAGTGAGGATGCATTCCTTTCCAGGAGAAAGCACCTTGGGGAGGTAGGGCTGGCAGCCCCCCAATGAACGCTCTGTGCGTCATGTGGCAAAGAATACCACCGTCCTGAGCCTTAGAGATTTTTCTTAACTGTAAAACGCAGATGGGATCTGATTGAACGTGTGGATCAAATGAGACCATGGGTGTACAGTGCTTAATCCCATGTCTGGCACACAGTGGCTGTCCTATAGGCCCTACTGCCTCTCTCCCTTTCCTCTTTCTGGCTAAGTTGTGTCCTAGCTGTAGCATATGGTTGGGGCAGGGAACATGATAGACCTAGGAGGTGTTCGGCACCTGGGAGGCCTGGTGTTGGCTGGGGCTGCAGTATTGCTGCTGGGTCACCTTGGCCTCACCTGTGTCACCTGATTTCCACTCCCAAGGAGTGACGTATCTGGATCCACACAACTCCAATGACTCCTAATCAGCCCTGACACTTGGTGAATGAGTCACAGCAAGCAATACACAGAGATGAAAGGAGCCAGCATTGTGATCTTGGTTATGATAATGAGCTTGATGAGCTTCTCCCAGGGAAACTTGGAGATGCATGAGAGAGGCAGGCTGCCTCTGTCCCTGCCCTGACAAATGGGATGCTAATACAAAGGGTCTCTGTTAACTCCCCTGCCCCCTCAAACACACACACCTGCTGCTCCTGGGCTGTTCTGATGGCACGGTATCCTGGGAAGGTAAGCTTTTGGGGGTGAGCGGGGAGAGAAGGGGCAGCTCCAGAGGGGAGGAGCTGAGATACATGCTCCAGGAACTGTCCGGCAGCAGTGGGAAGGAGCTGAGATACGTGTTCCAGGAACTGTCCGGCGGTTTCTTACAGACCCAGAGCAGCCCCATACCTCGGTCACCAGGACTGCTGGCTGGTCTCAAAAGGGGATCAAAGTGGGAGACCTTCGGGCAGGTCATACTTCTCTTACAGCAGGACAATAGCTTCTGTTTGTGGAGCTCTAAGTATCAAATAGTGGTAAGCACTATGTGTGTGCACATTATTTAATCCGATCCTCATGACAGCCCTGAGTAGGATAGTATTTCCATTTTGCAGATGGAGAAAGTAAAACAGGAGAACAATAACTTACCTAGTGGCAGAACTAAGATTTAAACCCAGGTCCATCTGCATGCACTAACCAGACCAGGCCTTGTTTAAGGAGGAAGTGCAGTCTAAAGCATCTTTTCTCCCTATTTTCTCTTCCTGGTCAGGGGAGCAAGTGCGAGGTGTGTATTAGTGGAAGTCCAGCAGAAGAGATGGCGAATGTAACAGGGCTGGGCTAAGGGGAGCTGGCGAGGGAGTGCAGAGCACCTTGAAGGCAGCAGAGCAGAGTCATTTGGGACCTGGAGAGCGCACGGCTGGAGGAGGGGCTGCCCCACAGAAGCGTGGCCTTCACAGGGGAGAACCACGGTCACCCCAGGCCCAGCAGGGTGTGTAAGTGAGTGGAGAGCAATCCACAGCCTTTCATCCTCACAGTCAGGTCTCCATAACTGACCCTACCAAAGGCCTGGTTGGTGCAGCCTTAGAAGTCAATCCTTCAGGTACGGGGTGCAGAGCAGGGTGGGGCAGAGTGGAGAGTGGGAGGTGGGGTACAGGGAGCCTCTGGAGCTTTCTTTCTGTTATTATTTTGTGTGTGCTTTGAGACAGGGTCTTGCTGTGTTGCCCAGGCTGGAGTGCAGCAGCATGATCACAGCTCGCTACGGCCTCGACCTCCTGGCCTCAAGTGATCCTCCTACTTCAGCCTCCTGAGTAGCTGGGACTACAGGCTTGCATCACCATGCCTGGCTGATTTTTTATTTTTATTTTTTGTAAAGATGAGGTCTCACTATGTTGCCCAGGTTGGCCTCAAACTCCTGGGCTCAAGCCATCCTCCAGCCTTGGCCTCCCAAAGTGCTGGGATTACAGGTGTAAGCCACCATGCCTGGACTCTCTGGAGCTTTCTGAGGAACAGACAGGGTGGCAGTGACGCTCTGTGCCCCCGAGAGGGGGTGGGCTGGAAAGCAGAACATGCTATTCTGTGTGCGCCCAGGGCAGCTTCATCCTTCTGGCTTCTCTGACCACCACCAGCCATGCTGGGTGCAAGAGCCCCAAGGGAGGGCCCCTGTTCTTTCCCTGGGGTACCCAGAGGATTTCCCATACTTGCATAGGACCTGGGGGTCAGGAGGGGGAGGAATCAGGAAGAAGAAGCCGCCTCTGAGAGAAGGAGTGGGAGAGAGCCAGCAGCAGAGCTGTCTCCCAGCTTCTCACTTTCAGAAACACACTCGCTGCCGCAGCCTTTTATTCTTCCTACAAATTTGTACTGCACACTTACTGTGGGCAAGGCCAGTTCCTGCCAAGCACAAGCTTGTGCTTAGGCAGCTGTCAGTGTGGGCACGCCCTCCATGGCTGCCTGGCCTGAGGGCAGGCTCATTAAGCGAATGAGGAGGGGCAGTGTCAGTTCACCGGCTGCCTCCTCCGAGGAATCTTCCAGCCCACCCCAGCCCAAGGCTCCCTTCCTGTCCCGAGCACCATGTCTGTCACTGTTAGCATTATTGCCTACAGTTACTGCCCCCCAAGTATAACCTCCCCAGGACCCATACCTAGGAGGGAGGGAACTACAGGCAGTGGAGGCCTCTGCTTAGAGATGCTCTGTAATTCTGACTGCCCCATGCTCACCTCTGGAAAGAGAGGCAGTTCAATTACCCAACCAATAATGTAGCCATTTTCTGTCTGTTGGGCAGGTGAGACCAATAATACCAGCTGCCCCCAGCTCCAGTCCCCCCTCCCCTGGCTCAGCATCTTAGCACATTTGTTGCTTAGCAAGGGAGGGTGGTTCCCATGACTTTCTGTTTCTTTGCTCCCCACTCACCTAGCAGCTGATGGGGAGTGGGAGGACAGTGGTCGCCTGTCAGCTTCCCTGCTGTCTTATGTGCACATGGCAGGGGTGCCGTACAGCCTGGAGGCCTGGACAAATGGAATTCAAGGGCTGGGGAAAGAGTGGGCTGAGGCCTTACCGGTCACACCTACAGGCTGCCGAGCCTGCCAGGCAGCTTCAATTGCAGGGTTCGGCTCCCAGAGAGAATGGCTGCTGTTCTATTCTACCTTGGTCCCTGGGATGGAAACCTGATTGGATTGAATCCTAGGATATGTCATTTTCCCTCTGCTAGCTGCTGGTCCCAGCGTCTCCCATACCTGATGGTGTGAGGCTGGACCAGAGCCGGTATCTATGCCAGGAGAGTCTGGGGCTTGGCCTGTTTCTGGGGCACTGGGGCACTGGGGCAGGGAATAGGTCTTGGCTGCTAGGTGAGCTACTCCTCAATGCACCCAGGAGCTTTCCAGATCCATAGCCCTGAAGAGAGAAGAGAGAAGATCTCACGGACTGTTGATCTTTCACCTTTCCCTCTCTGCTGTCCCCAACCTGTCATCTGTGCCACAGAACTGAGGACCTAGTTGGAGAGACAGACAGGTGAGATAGATGGCTGAGAGAGGGACCAAACTGCCCCACCCCCAGCCAGCCCTTAAGAACCTCCTTTTAAAATTGCTTTGCATCATATTTCTCTCCCTGCTCAGCCCCACTGGCTCCAGCAGCTCTGGCCTCCTCATCCATCATGCTGGCTGCAGGGCACGAGCGTATGTCTTGCAGAGAAACCTTTCTGCCCTAGGCCTCCAAGGGGAAGGGCTCAGCTGTCAGAGAAGAGGGCCGTTTCCAAAGGGGTCAAAGCGCTGGACCCTCCAGGATTGATGGGCTATGAATTATGGATGTCGCATCCGCCAGTCCCAAGGCTCCAGAGCCAGAGAGGGTATCCCTGCCTTCCTTCTTTGTTGGCGTCTTCTCTCTGGCATCCCTTTAGCGTTCGCTCATTTCATATTAGGTGCCTTCCTGTACTGATGTTACTTGTCGGTTGCTTTGTTTAATGGATGGGGTTGATGTGCACCCCCGCCCTAATCAACCGGGACCCCTGAGCATAAGGGCTGCTCCTCTTCCATGGCTAGTATCAGCCACACTTAGGTGCTCAGTATCATGCGGTCACCTAGTCTTACGAAGAATGAAGAGTGGCTCCAGGAGTCTATGAAGGCAGCAGTGAGGCCAGACGGTGCACAAAGTGGCCACAGGGACTAACTTCCTCCCCCCAGCAAACAGCATTTCACTGTGCTCTGAGCAAGGATTGCCCCAACTCTTTCCTCCTTTACCCCCACTTCTTCCTTCCTTTGGGGTCGCTGGCCTCTCCTTCTGCTGCCCCACCCCACTCTGCTTGCATTCCCAGGCCTGTCCCTGGCAGGGGCTCTCCCAAGCAGTGTTCCCTCTGCCCAGCCCCACCTCCACCTTTCTCCCCTGCCACATGCCCACATGCTCAGGTAGCCCCCTCATGCCCTCCCCTGGATTCAGCTGTTCCCTCTGCCAAAGAGTCCTACCTCTGTGGAATGATTTTCAGCTCTTACCCTGAATGGCTCCTTGGACATCTCCGAACCCTTCTCCCATCCAACTCTGCTACCTCTGTTCTCACACAGTACTCACATCTTCCTCTAATCTACATGCATCAGCCTCCTCACCAATTCCTCAGACTCCAGGCTTGTCCCCATCAGTCACAGCCACCTTTCACAGAACTTCCCAAATCTCCACCTGAGCCTTCTGACCAATCACCCCTCCATGAAACTCCAGCAGGAGCTCCTTTCATGCTCTGCCCCCTGAAGCCGCCTCTCCTGCCCTCTCCACCCCCACCTCTGCTCACGCCACATGCGCCAGCTGCTGCCTGCACAGTGCTCCCTCTGTTGAGGGTCCCCGAGTGCCTTCCTTCCCCCACCCTATGCCCAGGAGCTTCCACCAGTCCTAGGTGTCCTGGTCCAGCGTCCCTGCTTTCAGGATCCTTCTTTGGTCTTTGCCTCCTCATGAACTGGCTGCTCCACATTGGTGCTGCCATTGGCCATGTGCATGCCTCTGTCCCCACTTACTGCTTTATTTTTATTTTATTTTATTTTTTGAGACAGAGTCTCGCTCTGTTGCCCAGGCTGGAGTGCAGTGGTGTATTCTCGGCTCACTGCAACCTCTGCCTCTCCAGGTTCAAGCGATTCTTCCACCTCAGCCTTCTGAGTAGCTGGGATTACAGGTGCTTGCCACCATGCCCAGCTAATTTTTGTATTTTTAGTAGAGACGGGGTTTCACCATGTTGGCCAGGCTGGTCTCAAACTCCTGACCTCAGGCAATCCACCTGCCTTGGCCTCCCAAAGTGCTGGGATTACAGGCGTGAGCCACCGCTCCAGGCCACTGCTTGGTATTTTAATGTTCTATTCCTGTACCTGTGCAACTCCCTCCCCACCTCCTTGCCCTGCTGTATGTCTCACATCTCCAGCACCTGGAGTCCCTGGCATGTAAGAAAGGCCTCTACATCCTGAACAAGGGAAATACATTGAATGAAGGAATGACTAGAAGTGAGCCGGTCCGGTGGGCAGAGGCTCACAGGTAGGGGTTGAAAGCGTGGGCGTATGGAGAGGCAGGCTGGAGGAGCAGCATTTGAGGTAAATTAGAAAATAGCGCGAGATTTAGCCACAGGGGGAGAAAGGCTTTCAATATACAAAACACCCCTTCCCTCGCTGCTCCTGTCAGCACCTTCTCAAAGCGAGGAAAATAAATCTGTTTTCTTTATGACAAAGCCTGATTTGATGATAAACCCTCTCAGCTTCCCGGGAGGTGGCAGTGACTCTGATAGGTGGGGAGGAGGCAGGAGTAGGTAAAGGAAGCGGGGGCTGGGGGAGAGAAAAAAAGAGAGAGAGAGACTGAGGCGGGGGAGGAGAGGGAGAGAAAGCGCTTGTTCTGTGCGCTGATTACTAATGCGGTGGAAAAGCTGGGCAGGTTCTGGAGGGAGGCATTTATCCTGCATGAGAAAGCAGGCAGTGTGTTTCAGAAGCTATCCACAGGCCCCCCCGCCGCCAAGCTAGAGGGAAGGAGATGGGGAAGGAGAGGGCCGGGCAGGACCTGGGGCTTGGCTCTGCCCTGAGCCACAGCATGAAGAGGGACAGAGCTGCTGAACTCTTGGCTCTCAGGGCCACAGTCACCTGGGGCCCTTCTTTTTCCAGGGGGCTGCTTCATCCGCCGAAGTCGCAGCCTTCTTCCTTGGGGACGTGTTTACAGGGTCACTTGGCTCCTTTCTCTACCTTTCTGGAGGGTGGGGGAAACCCAGCCCCATTCCTGGCACCTAAAGTTGGAAACTGAGGGAGGCTCCTGGGAGTCCCCGTCCCTGAGGGAGGGGTGGTGTCTTTGGGGTGGCTGGGTCTGAGCAGCGTGTGGATGCCGGGGAGCCAGGGGGCATACCCCTGTAACTTTCCTCTCTTACCATGAAGAGAAGCAGAGCCGTCTGCCACAGGGTTAGGCAACTTGTCCCTCATCCCTTGTGGGGACCCCTCTCTGAGTAGCCTTCCTGTTAAGAAAACAAAAGAACATGTGAGATCACGGAGCTGCAGACTGCACCTTGGAGATCACTGAATCTTCTCTTCTCTTGGCCAGAGGAGGGGATAGAAGAAAGCAGACATGCCTGAGGCCACACAGCTGGTTAGTATCCAAGCGGGAGCAGTGGCCCCTTCTACCCAAATTCCAGTCTCCACAGTGCAGCCCCAAACAGGGGCCTCTGCTTCTCCTGTAACCCAAATCAAACAAGGCCTTCCTGCGTCTACTGTGAGGCACACTTCAAGCTGGAGACACACCCTAAAGAACCCAGTATCTGACTCTAAAAGCTTTAAGACACAGTGAAGCACCTGCCTGAGTCTTCTGGAGACGGTGGCCTGCATTACACCCACACTTCCTTCAAATGCTCTCTGTTCCCTTTCTTCAAAGCCCCACACCTCCTGGAAGCTGCTCACTTTCTCCCTCCCTCTGCAGGCTCCAGCCCATGAGGGGTTCCTGCCCTTTCTCCACCGCCCCTCTTCTAGGTCTCCTTTCTCCATTTCTGTTCCCCATTTCCACTCGTTACCTTGTTGCCTGGTAGCCAAGCAACAGATCCTTCCTCTTTAAAAGGTTAAACTTGCTCTGGTCACTGTCACCCTCCAGTCTGTGAATCATGCTGCCTTTCCCTCCTGCCTCGTGTTTTCAGCATGACTAACAGGCAGAGAAGGCGGCAAGGGGTGTGGGTTTCTCAGAGAAGGATCCCGTGCACTCACAATAGAATCCTCGGAGGCTTTCCTATCCAGGACCCTGCTGCCTCTGACCGCACCCCAAGCCTTCTCTGCTGCTCACATGGGCTCCTCTCTCCTTTGTGCTTTTTGCCTTCTGTCCCCACTGCCTGGAAAACGTTCCCCTCACATTTTGCATGGCTGCTGCCTTCTCATCACAGAGGTCTCAGGTCAACCATCACTACCCCCAGGAGGCCTTCCTTGACTGCCCTATCTCCTGTCACTGGCCTCCACTACCAGTCACTGCCATGTTCACTTCCTTTTGTTGTCATCTAGCACCTGTCCCTGTCTGAATTGTATCATTTATCTGTTATTATTTGTTTATTCTGTTCCTGCCTGTCTCCCTGAGGCCAGGGACCTTGTCTGTCTTTATTACTATGCTGACCCTGGTGCTCAGCACTTAATAAAGAATCATTAAAACAAAATGAATGAAGGACACTAAAGGTGGGTAAGATTGAGTCAGGGCCTGGATCTGTGTAAATCTCTTTGTCGATGGGGCCTTGCACACTCAAGGGTTCCTTCTCTACCCTGCTCAGGAAACTGAGACTCAGGATTTACGGGAGACCGGGGACCTCCTTGGTTAAGAGTTAGGACATCCCCATCAGCCCCTGAGATGTAGGAGCTGTGGCTGCCTGCTCTGTTCCGGGTGGGGTGTGTGCTCTTGCTTCTGGGGTGTTGATGTCCCCAACTTGTCTATTTCTCCTTCTTTGCAGGCTGTCATAGAAGTTACTTGGACAACACCACCCACCCCTGGGGGGTGGGGTGGTGGGAACTTGCTTGGTGATGGCAACAAACAAACAAACACTTTCCCCTTCCCACTTCTCTTCCGGTATTCCAGACAGGAGGTAAGTGGGCAGTTCCTGGACTTCATGGAAGTAATGAGGCAGTAAGTTTGGTGCTGTACCCTCTCAAACTGTAATGCTCTAGAATGGAGAGGAGCAGCAGAGAGGCAGGGGCGTGCCAGGCCACCTCTCTAGGAGTTCATGTCCCCATTAGAAAAAAAAAGAAAAAACTGGAACAAAAGTCTGAGAGAGAGTCTCGATCAAGAGCTCAAGCCTAGCCTAGAACACACTCGGGCTTGTTGTGACTCTGTTTACCAATAAGCAGGAAGGAGCCTATTGTACTCAGGGTTACAGAAGCGGAAAGAAATCCCATGAATAGGAGCACAGGAGCCAAGAAGTTGGGCTCAGAGACAATAGATAGGAAGGGAGGGGGTGTGGGAAGGGAGATCCAGACTGGTGAGGCTTAGAGGAGAAAGCCAGGTGTGCAGGGGCCACCACTAGGAACGTCAGGAGAGGAGGGGTAGAAAAGGAGCCATTTACATGGTCAGATTTCTGTAGCAGGTCTGCCTCCCCACCGTGCCATGGAGCGAGCTGGCTTGGCATAAGATTTATTGGGTATGTTCTATGAGCAAGGAAGTGTGAGTGAGGCAAGATGGATTCAGCAGGTGTGTCAGACACGCAGTTCTAAGGCCAGAGGGCCAGCAGGCTTTGCACTCAGGTCAAATTTGAATATCTAGTCTGCCTCTTACTCCTCACTGTGTGACCTTGGACCAAAAGTTAACCTCTCTGCCTTCTTTTTTTTTTTTTTTTTTTTTTTTTTGATATGGAGTCTCACTCTGTCGCCCAGGCTGGAGTGCAGTGGCGTGATCTGGGCTCACCACAAGCTCCGCCTTCCGGGTTCAAGCAATTCTCCTGCCTCAGCCTTCTGAGTAGCTGGGATTACAGGTGCCCACCACTACACCTGCCTAATATTTGTATTTTTAGTAGAGACAGGGTTTCACCATGTTGGCCAGGCTGGTCTCGAACTCCTGAGCTTAGGTGATCTGCCCGCCTCGGCCTCCCAAAGTCTGCCTTCTATAAAATTGGGGTAGCGCCCACCTCATCAGGCTACGATGGAGATGAAACGTGATGATGTGTGTAATGTGTAGGGCTAGCATGATGTCCTACAGATGGTGGCAGGTGCTTTCTGCAGCCTGCACCTCTGGCCCTGGCGTAAACCAGAGAAGATCACCATCTGCACTAGGTAAAGCCCTGCCTAGACACAGGTGCATGGACCAAAGGACCCTGAGGACTCTTTGGTCCTTTGAAATATTGACTTTCTGACAGCTTCCTGTCTTCATTTCCTATCATCTCTGCAGGAATAATGTACTGATCTGCTGACATTAAGAAGGACCCTATTTTCAGATTACTTCTTCAAAGGAGCAGCATCTACATTGGCAAGGTGATTACAACCCAAGCACACAGCTGATTTGGAAGACTTGAGTCCCAAAAGATGACTTTTTTTTTTCCTCCTCCTCTGCAGGATGCTTTAGCTTGAAACATCTGGGTAACTGCTTAACACCTTCCTATTTTGCAGAACATTCCCAGCATCGGGGCCGTTTGCATCTTTCTGGGCTAGTATTTTTCAGGATTATTTAGAACCAAGGACCTCATGCACTGGGGGAGGTCCTGCTCCTCTCTGCCCACCCCGTTTCTCATGCCCCCACTTCCACCTCCAACACTCCCTCAAGGGCAGAGGCGCTCATCTTCCACTGTATGTCCGCAGGGTTAAAACCTGCCATGTTGCCTGTCTCCCAGGACATGGCTCCTTCAGGGATTTCTTTCTTTTTTTTTTTTGTTTTTTTGTTTTTTTTTGAGACACAGTCTCGCTCTGTCACCAGGCTGGAGTGCAGTGGTGCAATCTCAGCTTACTGCAACCTCCACCTCCCAGGTTCAAGCAATTCTCCTGCCTCAGCCTCCTGAGTAGCTGGGACTATAGCGCACAGCACCACACCCGGCTATTTTTTGTATTTTTAGTAGAGACGGGGTTTCACCATGTTGGTCAGACTGGTCTCGAACTCCTGACCTTGTGATCTGTCTGCTCGGCCTCCCAAAGTGCTGGGATTACAGACGTGAGCCACTGTGCCGAGCCTCCTTCAGGGATTTCTTAGATCTCCAAGAGAGGTGCTGCGGCTCTCACAGGTGTTGGGCTCCAGGAGCCTGTCCTGGGAGGCAGGGGGCCTCTCTGTGGGAGGAAGCACCTCTCCTAAGACTGCCCAGTGATCCTTGGGGGACACTGATTATGGACAACGTGTAATTCAAAGGTCGTTACCTTTGGTTTCAGGATGGGTCAGAAAGGGCCTGAAAAGCTTGGATTATTCTCTCTTCTGCATGGACTAGAGAAGGGTCAGGAAGGCCTGCAGCTAAGCAAGCTTTAAAGCCATGGTATAGTTGATTTGGGCTCAGAAAGCTCAACTTGTGAGACTAGACTGATTGTGTGTCTGTATTTTCTGTACTTCCTTCCTTTTCTCCTTTTACCATTTGATACCTCTTTGTCAATGGTAGTCTGTGCTACTGGGAACAGTAGGAGAGGGTTGGGTCTTTGTTCTTAGACTAGAAATGTAATAAGATAGGGATAGGCACCACACCCCTTGGGCTTGGATATGCTTTGAGCAACAGATTTGGAGTGAGGGAACTCCAAGGGGCCAGGACAGAGTGAGGTGCTGGTGTGATCAGGATATAGGGTAGTCAAACTCAGGTCTTCAGATTCTCATTCCAGTGCTCACTCCCTTGCATCACAGTTCCTCTACAGATGCCATAACAAGAAACACTTCCACTCCCTCCTGTGTCTGAACTGTGTGTTAGACACAAAAGAAAATAATTCTGGAGTCGGTACAGTGGCACACATCTGTAATCCCAGGAACTCAGGAGGCTAAGGCAGGTGAACATTTGAGCCCAAGAGTTCAAAACCAGCCTAGGTAACCTAGTGAGACCCAGTCTTTTAAAAAAAGAGAGAGAGAGAGAAAAGAATTCCTGAAGGCAGGGCTGGGACTGGTAGTGCCAGGAGGAAACAAAAAGCTATTTGCTGTGGTGCCTGAGCACAGAAGGAGAATAGAGAAAAAGGAGGCAGAAGGAGTGCAGAGGGGAGGAAGGGGAGAGCAGGGCGTTCTGTGTGGGCTCATTTGAAAGGAAGTACACAAGCCCATCCAGGCCATGGGTTTGGCCATATCTGGAAGGGCTGGACAGGCCAGGTTGAAGACAAGAAGGCCTCAGTGTGGGGAATTTTATTACAATGAGGCAGGAAGGAGGTGGTCCTTGGGCTTCTTTGTCACCCGCAGGGAGAAGGGAGACGTGAGAGCTGTGGGGAAAGAAGCAGGCCTCCTCCCCCTGCATGGAGACCTTTGTCCATGCTGCCGGCGGCCACAGGAGGGAGGCGTGTGAGATGGCGGCTGCTGGAGAATGTGATGCCCGCTGGTCCAAGAGATGACCTTGAGAGAGAGGAGAGACAAAATTGAGCTGGTGTCTAGTGTGGGGGAGAGGGGAGGGGCAGGTGAGGTGGGAGGAGAAAGCTGAGAGGCAGCTAGACAGGGAGGGGGTGGGGAGAGCCGGGGCCACCTCCCCGTCTGGTCTGTCTGCCTCTGTCCTGGCCAGAAGGAAGGAGGACACAGACACAGGCATGTAGGGGTGCGGCAGAGATGGGGGGCCGTGTGTCTTTGAGCCCCAAGGTTCTCCTGAGCTGAGACCTTCATTACCTCATGTGCTTCCTAAGGATACAGGCCTTGAACCTGCTGGGGGCAGGCCCTGGACTCAAGCTCCATAGGCAGCCCCCCTTTTTCTAGCCTGGGTGATGCCCTCCCGAGTCCTTGCTTTTCAAAGCATTTTGGGGGGACGTGGTAGGGGCACCCATCCTCTGCTCCAGGAGCTGGAGATGGGATTTCCCATTTCTCTGACAAGAATTCCCAAGAAGTGATGGCTGTCACTGCAGCTCCACCCCCATGCCCATCTTTCTTTTTCTGTTATAGATTGTTTATGTTAAGTCATCTTTCTCTGGGACAAAGTACTTAGCCTCTCATTTTCATCAGTAAAAGCAGGGATAATAATTCCTTCCTCACAGAGTTGTTAGGACTGCCAAATTAGGTCCCATATGTAAAAGAGCTTGCTGAAGTGCAAACTGACAGCAGAAATGTAAGAGATTACTATTCCCAGGGAAGAGACAAAAGAGAAAAGGAAGCAGGAAGGGAGTCCAGGCAAGGTCAGGGTGGGGAAATGGCCTTGGCTCCTAAAACAGACTTAGCTCCAGCCTCTCCAGCAGCCCCTCCCACCCTCCCTTCTCCACGAGCCTCCTCTGGCCCTAGGCCTTGCTGGGTAACCTTTGGAAAAACAGGACCCTGGAGCTGAGAATGGGGCAGGCAGAGGGGGAGGTCATTGCAAACTCATCCTTTCTCTCACGGAGAGGAGGGGCCCTGGCCTCTTCCCCTTGACCTCCTCCCGCTGATACTCATAGGACAGGTTAGGGCAAGACCCTCCTGAAGGCCACAGGGTGCCCCAGAGGAGGGAGGCACTCCCCTTCACACAGAGCTGGCAGAATAGTCACCAGGGTGCCGCCCAGAGCAAGTGCCCTTGCCAAGGTCAAATATGAGTTGCTGCTGGGCCACAAAGGACCTGGATGAGTGAGGTTAGGAAAGTCTGGTGTTGGAGGAGGTGGATGTGATGCAAACCTAGACTGCCGGCTGGCATGAGGCCCTCAAGCTAGCTGCCGTGCCTGGCTGGACCCCACAGCCCCTCCTCTCACTCCCTTCCTTTGTACTCTCTCAGGGCTGGCTTGCATCTGCTCTGTGTCATTCTCTCCATCTTTACCATTCTACAAGACAGGAGGGCCTCACTCTGGCTAAAGAGGTGCTCTCTGCCTTCCCTGCCAGTTGCCCAACCCTAACCCCTTTAGGTACCTGAGAAACAGGAGGCCTAGCTGTTCACATCAAGATCGAGAAGGAACAGCTGTGGGGTTTCTCTCTCTCTGTCTCTCCCCATCTCTCTCTTCCTCCTTCCCTCCCTGGTGCAGAGGGACAGATGCTCTGTTTAGAATTTCTTCAGGGAGACAGACAACAAGGGCATTCTTTCTATTCCTTGGGCTTCCCTAGCCAAAAATGGGGGATTAGCCAAGAGACAGCTGCAGAGGCAGCGGCCCTTGGGGAACCCCTCCCGGAGCAGCAATGGCCTGGGGAAAGAAACTCTCTGGAGCTGGCCTCCTTTAATTGGAACTTGAAAATGGTGTCTGCATTGGAGTGTGGCAGAGAGCAGGACTTCAGACTCTGGCTGGATGGACCCCGGATTGAATCCTAGCTCTGCCACTCTCTTGCTGTTTGGGTTTGGGCCTCTCCCCTTTCAGAAGCCTGTTTCTTCATCTGCAGTCTGAAGATGAGCATCCCTACTCACTAGGGTTTTTGCTGGAATTAAATGAGTTGATGCACAGAAAAGCTTCTATTATAGGTCTGGCAAACTCCAGGAGTCCAGGGATTGTTAGATCTCCTGTCCCACAATAGAGCAGGAGCCAGGTGACTTTCTGTATTCAGCAAAGAGTAACCGAGAGGCATGTGGGAATGATGTGGCTTCCAGTACCCAAAAGCCCCAGTTCTGGAAAACCTTTTTTTTTTTTAATTAGATTTTTGAAAAAATTGGATTCCTCGGCCAGGAGTGGTGGCTCACACCTGTAATTCCAACACTTCGGGAGGCCGAGGCGGGCAGATCACCCGAGGTCAGGAGTTCGAGACCAGCCTGACCAACATGGAGAAACCCTGTCTCTACTTAAAGTACAAAATTAGCCAGGTGTGGTGGCGCATGCCTGTAATCCCAGCTACTCAGGAGGCTGAGGCAGGAGAATTGCTTGAATCCGGGAGGCAGAGGTTGTGGTGAGCCAAGATCACGCCATTGCACTCCCCCCTGGGCAACAAGAGTGAAACTCCATCTCAAAAAAAAAAAAAAAAGAAAAAAGAAAATTGGATTCCTCAATCCAGGATCTCTTGCATTTGGAGAACTTTAGGCTTTCAGCTGTTGCATGCCTAGGCCTTGTCATAATCCAATAAAGCAGGATATGGAACGGGATATTGGATATGGAAGGGGATAGGATTGGTGGATGAAACAGAGAAAGGGAGAGAGAGACAGAAAACACACACACACACACACACTCTGAGAGAGAGAGAGACACACACAGAGAGAGAGATTCCGCTGTAACAAACTCTTGGAAGACAGAAAGAGGAGGCAAAGGAGAGGAAGGGCCAGTGACAGCTCTGCTGCTCTGAAAGTCAAGGGGCCCTTGGCTCACTGCCTTCCCCGTCCTTCCCTGGGGCCAGGTGCGCTGGAATCCTAGATTCCCTGGGAGTGAGGGTAGGTACCATGACGGCATGAAGTCACCTCCCACCACCTTCAAGACTTCCCACTGCCAGTCTGTAGCCTGTGTGTTGAGTCCTGGTCCAACCCTGAGTCACCCGTGTGAACTGGGGTCAGTGATTGGTCTCTAGTTCTCCATCTCTCCATCTGAAGAATGTGAATAATAATTTCTGACTTGGCTGTTTACAGGACCGCCGTGAGGATCCAAGTGCACAGTGAGGTGGGGGGAGGCAGATACATGGATTCCTTTCCACGTGGCCCACAAGAAACACCTGTCCCTCCAGACTCGGGGACCACCAGGGACCTTGAATAGTTGCCTTGGCAACTCATTGCCTGGCTAACTCCCACTCCTTTGGGTTTCAGCTTAAACATCAGTTGTGCAAGATCTTCTGGACCCCTAAGTTGGGTCCTCCTCTTGTAAGCATTCATAGCATTCTCTACATACCCTTTACAGCACTTTTATGAGTTGAATAGCATGGTTATTGGTGTGCTTATTTGTTTCACACCTGTCTTTTGCACTAAATTCTAAGCTCTCTGAGGAAAAGGAATATGTTTCTGTTGCGTACCATCTTATCACCACGTAGCAGTGGGTGCTCCATAAGATCCTCCTGCGTGAGTAAGTGAATTCCCTGCCTCATCCCTCTCTCATGCCTTAGCATGAGGCCTGAGGCCAAGAGCCCGTCCATCACATACCCCTTGCCCAAAGCCTCCTTATAACGGTCAGGAGAAGGGTGGCATCTCCTCCTCTCCCTTCTAACTCAAGGAACAAATCACTGGCTACATGATAGTTGCCCTTCCTCCCATCCTTCCAGCATAGTAGCCCCTGCCCAGGATCCAAAAGGCAGAAGGTGAGTAATTGCTATTTTTATTTATCTTTGCACAAGGCTGCCCTCTGGTGGTCGAACATGTAGGAGCGAATGGGAAGGATGGAAACCCCAGTAGCCAGGAACCAGCCCAGCTGGCTGAGCCAACCACGCTCAAGAGACTGGCCAGCGAGCCAGGGAGTAGGTAAGTGCTACAAGAAGCGCATCTGGGTGAAGATTCGTGTCAGTTCTCCATCCTTATGAATGGCTCCCTCCAAATCTAACAGGAGGCCCTGGCCTCAGAAGAGCAGGAAATGAAGGAATGCCCTATAGAAATCTTACCTACCTCAGCCCCAGTAGGATGGTGTGCAGGTAGGGGGAGCTGGTTTAAGTAGCTATTCTTTCTCCTCAGTGGTATGCAGGCAAACATTTTACAGTCAGCTCTCAAAAAAGGAAATCCCAATTTGTAGTGTTTACCAATTTCTGTAGTGTAAATACCCCTACCATGGCCCATTTTAAACCACCGATATGATGTCACTGAATGAGGAGCTGGAAGAGATGCCCAGTAGCACACCATTATCTAGAGTTTCCCCCATACAGACACCATGGACAGAAATAACTTCAAGGGCACGATTAATAGTGAAATATAGTAAACTAATTGAAAATGATGATTTTTGAATAATTATTACATTTGTTTTCAATATAATATATTTAATTGTGAGTTTATATAATTTAATTTTTCATAATGGCTGTGTTTAACAACTGACTTGCAAAATTCTGGAAAATTTAGTAATCGGTTCCTGCAAGTAGTAAGAGCTGGCTCCAGCACATCACTGCTCTCCTCTTCCCCACTTCTTCCTTCTCTTCCTCCTCCCCCTCTTCCTCTCCCACAGCTTTCTTGGCATTCTGTGTGGGTGCAAGAGATGGGGAATATGGAAAAGAGCTCCACTGCAGACACTGCTATTTTCTGAGCCAGGAGCCATAAGTGTCAAGGAAAGAAGATGGAGAAATGCAAATTTGGCTACTGAAAAACATTTCAGTACATGAGTGTGTGTGTGTATGCATGCGTGTGCATGTGTGTGATATTTGCAAGGGATCGAGAGGTTGATTAATGCCTGGGCTAAAGATCACCGTTTAAAGATAAGGAATTGGGCTTTATGGCTGGAGGCCCATGCCTGCATGGTCCTTGGAGGGTTCTTACCTGGGAGGAGTGGAAGGGCTCCGAGCTACGTGAAGCGGCCGATGGGGAGCCGAGGCAGGCAGAAGTAGGCGCTGGGGAAGAGGCTGAGGTTGATGGGGTTGCCATCCAGGCGGATGTCTTCCAGCTGCCTGCGGGTGTGTTTGTGCTCCTCGGGGTCACAGAAGACGTCTCTCTGCATGGTCTCTATCAGGTTATTCTGGGAAGAACACATACCAGCTGAGCCTCACCAAGAGGCTCTGCCCCTTAAGCAGCACCAAAGGCTCACATCAGCTGTCCCTACCAGCTCTGCCTGCTCTGGTGCAACTGGAGAAACTGAAGCATCTAGGGCCAAAGCCACACAACAAGGGTGAGAAGAGGAGCCCCAGGGGGGATGGATGGAGAGAGAGGGCACAGATGAAGAGGAAGAGAAGGGGAGAGAGGAAGGAGGGAAGGACTGAAGGGAAGGAAAGAGACAGAGGGTAGGAAAAAGAGAGAAGGAAAAGCAGTTGGGTGAGATAAAATAAAATGGTGGAGGGAGAGAAAGTGTTTTAAAAAGAAAAAATGGAGAAAATCAAACTGGGGTCATGGACAACTATTTAGACAAGACCTCCCAATCCTTGTCTCCAATAAACCCTCCAATCAAGGAGACCCCACAGCTGCCTAAGCCTCATGCCTCTCTCTGCCACGACCTGCTCCTGGTATCTAACTTCCATCCTCCACGCTGTTTATCACCCTTGCTCTGGGTGGTGCTCCTTACCTGCAGGTGTACAGAGCGCAGGCTCAGGGGCAAAGGCCCCGGGATAGAATCCAGCAGGTTGTCTGACAGGTAAAGGAACTGCAGCTTCTCCATTGCCTGTGGAGAAAGCAAAGAGTGTAGGAGGCTGGTGGGTCCTGTTGGACCCTGGCAGTGAGGAGGGCTATGAGACCAGAGACAGGTGGCCCCATTTGTTCACTCAGGGCTCACTTAGCCTCAGCCATGCGCCAAGCTCTGTGCTGGGTGCCACAGGGGTTGCCCAGGTCTTTAAGGATCTTACAGACACTAACTCCAACTGGATGCAGGAGGAAAGCTGCTACCATTGAGGTGCCAGCCACTGAAGTAGGAAAGAGCTAATCAGCTGGTAATGACACTGGGTAGTGCAGGGGAGGGGCAGGGACAGGGTAGAAGGGAGGACCAGGGGACATTTCCGCTTTGCCTCAACTTCTCTGCTATCAGAAAGGACTTTCCCCAATGACAAGTCTCCAAATGCTAAACCTGGGGCCATGGACAATTATCTAAACAAGACCTCCCAATCAATGTCTCCAATAAACCCTCCAATAAAGGAGACCCCACAGCTGCCTAAGCCTCATGCCTCTCACTGGCATGACCTGCTCCCTGGTATCTAACTTCCATCCTCCATGCTCTGTTTATCGTCCATGCTCTGGGTGAGGAGCAGGTACAGAGCAGACACTCGGGAGACAGCCAGACCAGCAGAATGAGAACCTCAGGCACAGAGAGGTACACAGTGTGTGCATGGGACCGTGCTCTCAGAATTAGACAGTGTTAATCAGAGAAGCGTTTGGGAAGAGACAAGCCTTCAGCAGGGCTCAGGGAGCAAATAAAAATGATAGTTACCATTTATGGAGCATCTACTATGCGTATCTAACCCTCCTGTTCTCTTTGTAAAATGCTATCTTATTTAACCCTCCAGCAGCTGTGTCAAGCAGGTATTATTACCCTCATTTTGCAGATGAGAAAACAATGTCAGAGAGGTCAGGAGACTCTCGCACAAACCCAGGTCTCTGTGGCTCCAAAGCCCAGGCCTTATCCTGGGCTGAGAAAACAGCTCTGAGTCAAGGCAAAGCAGCGCCTCCTAATATGGAGACAGCTGGCATGTTGCTGAGGCTGAGCAGTGGGGAACTTCAGGGATCATGCAATCCCGTTCTTTGAGACCGAAAAACTGAGGCCCGGGGTCACGTGGCCGGCTTCTGATTCCCAGTCTAGTGCTCTTCCACCACAACAGTGGTAGTGACGCTGTTCTGTAAAACTCCCTCAAAGACCACTGCAGACAGGAGAAGGCTGAGAGGGTGGAAGTCACTGGGGAGGGCAGGGCAAGAGAGCAAGCAGGTGTGCCTCTGTGCTCTCATCCTATTTCAAAAATGCAAGTCTAATTTGGTTTATTTGATGCTTCTAAATAGGAATTAGATTGCGTAAAAGATTCTACTACTTGAGAGACAGAGAGAGAAAGAGAGAGAGCACATGGGCGAACACACCCGGGGCTCTTCCTAGCCCTATTGAATGGGCTGCCCCAGTGGGCATATTTGTGTCATACAACTTAGCCCTTCCCATCAAAACTGGCCAGCCAATGACCAATCAAATAGTCTCTCTTGGACAGGCACAGTGGCTCATGCTTGCCATCCCAGCTCTTCGGGAGGCCAAGGTGGGCAGATCACCTGAGGTCAGGAGTTCGAGACCAGCCTGGCCAACATGGTGAAACCCCATCTCTACTAAAAATACAAAAACTAGCCGGGCATGGTGGTGCATGCCTGTAATCCCAGCTACTCAGGAGGCCGAGGCAGGAGAATTGCTTGAACACGGGAGGCAGAGGTTGCAGTGAGCCGAGATCATGCCACACTGCATTCCAGCCTGGGCGACAGAGCCAGATCTGTCTCAAAACAACAACAACAAAAGTCTCTCTTGAGTATTTGATCATAGAAAGACAATGATTCATCAGTCACTTACTGAAGGGTTTTGGAAATAAAAGGATACGTAGAATTAGGGCCAGAATCAGCACTATTCCAAGCCAAACTCACGTGTATGTTTTCAGGGAGCAGAACCTGTGAGTGTGCAGAGGATGCTGGTGAGCAAACAGGTGAATTGAGCAGATGCACAGAAAGAAGTCAAGACAAGAGGCCGTGTGTCCCAAAGAGGGAGAGAGAGTTGTCCACCTGGACTTCTGAACCCCCATTCCCAGTACAGGTTGAGTATCCCAAATCTGAATATCCAAAATCCAAAATGCTCCAAAACCCAAAACTTTTTGAGCATCAACAAAGTGCTCAAAAGAAATGCTTATTGGAGGCTTTTGGATTCTGGATTTCAGGTTAGGGATGCTCAGCCAGTAACAGGCCCATGAGGCCTGATAGTACTGTTTCCATTCATGGAGGTTCTTGGGATGGCCTTTTCTTGGGTCAGAATCAGTTTCTTGCAACTGAAAGAATCAATAAATAGCAAATTTAAAAGGATGAAAACAGTGGGTGGTGGTGATGGAGGTGCATGGTGGGAGTGCAGGTGGGTGGTACAGGTGGGTAGTGCAGGTGGGTGGTGGTGGTGGATATGGGTGGTAGGAGTGGAGGTGGGTGGTGGTGGTGGCAGTGGAGGCGGGTGATGGTGGTGGAGGTGGAGGTGCAGGTGGGTGGTAGAGGTGGCAGAGGTGGAGGTGGGTGGTGATAGAGGTGGAGGTGGGTGGTAGAGGTGGAGGTGGGTGGTGGTGGTGGAGGTGGGTGGTGGAGGTGGAGGTGGGTGGTGGTGTGTGGAGGTGGGTGGTGGTGTGTGGAGGTGGGTGGTAGGTGGTGGTGGAGGTGGGTGGTGGTGGTGGTGGTGGTGGTGGTGGTGGTGGTGGAGGTGGGTGGTGGAGGTGGAGGTGGGTGGTGGTGGTGGAGGTAGGTGGTGGTGGTGGCAGTGGTAGGTGGTGGAGGTGGGTGGTGGTGGTGGTGGTAGGTGGAGGTGGTGGTGGTGGAGGTAGGTGGTGGTGGTGGCGGTGGTAGGTGGGTGGTAGGTGTGGAAGTGGGTGGTGGTAGAGGTGGGTGATGGTGGAGGTGGGTGGTAGAGGTGGAGGTGGGTGGTGGTGGAGGTGAGTGGTGGAGGTAGGTGGTGGAGGTGGGTGGTGGTAGAGGTGGGTGGTGGAGGTGATAGATAGTGGATCTAAGGCCTTGACTCACCCTGAAGGCTGCAGGCTGTATCCCCGAGCTCTGGAGCCGATTTAGGCGGACATCCAGGAACTCAATGCCACTGGGCAGCACGGGCAGAGCTTCCAACTGGTTCTCTGGGAGGATGAGGTCCTGGAGGGCATGTAGCAGGCGGAAGGCATCATTATCGATGGAGGAAATGAGGTTGTTGGAGAGGTCAATCCTCTTCAACTTTGCTGAGAGAGGTTAGGGGAGAACAAAGAGAGAAACCAGAACACACTATCTTTCCTTGTCCAGGTTGGAGCTGTCTCCACACCTTGCTCCATCCCTCTCAAGATGAGGGGATTCTAACCAGCTCTCCACCTGCACTAGGCCCAAACCAGAGGAAATAACATAAACCAGGACTCCTTGGAAAAGCCCTCGGATGCCTCAGTGCCCCTCCCTGGAGTTTTGTCCTGTGCAGTGGCCGTCCATCTTGCATCCTTTAGAAGAAGCCTCTTGAAAGCGAGAACCAACAGGCCCAGGAATCCCTGGATCCACCTCACCTCCACTTGTGAGTCTAAACAAAAGGGCACTGAGGCCTGGAAAGGCTCTGGGTAATTAGTGGTAGAATTTGGATCAGAACCCAGGTCTCCTGTCTCAAGCAGGGCATAAGGCATAAAGAAGCTAAAAGCACACAAACAACCCTGTAAACAGCATCAGTGCCATGGAGAGTAGATTTAAGACTGTCCTGCCCAGAGGCCAGCTGATCACACAGCTGTCACTGCTGGGACATCCTGAAGATGCTGGCAGATCATACCTTCCCCTCCCAGCTTCCCAGACGTTTTTGGAGAACAAATAAAAACAGGTCCCTTCCACCATCTAAATACTTCAAGGAAGGGACTTCTAGAGACTTCGGGCTATTTCCCTTTGACAGCTGGAGGGACTGAGAGCCAACAGGAAAGAGCTAACACGGGGGGCACTAACACAGTGTTGGTGACTGTCCTAGTGGCAGGGTGGCTGCATATGCCTGCCCCCACTCCTCTTTTCCCAGGGCATTACATACTCAGCCCTTTGAAGTCTTCGGCCCTGATACGGCTGATGCGGTTGAAGCGTGCATACAGGTAGGCAGTCCTCCGAGGAAGAGGAGGAATGTCCTCTAGGTCAATGTCATCGCAATACACAGAGGAACCGAGGCACACGCAGACCAGGCAGGTGGGCAGACCTGGCCCAGGTGGAAGACAGAACAAAGGGAGATCTCTTTAGCCTCTGGGGCCAATGGCCCTCGCCCCAGGGAGTGTCTGAACCATGGCCATCTGTGCCTTTTTGATAGCCTATGGGTTGCTGCCCAGAACTGACGGGCACCATGTACACGGTGCTGTTGTCTGCTCCCCTGTCACTCTGTCCTCTACCCCAGAGAGGCAGGTCCATCCTCAGTTACTACCCAGCCCAAGCCCATTTATACTTTCAGCAGACCCTGGTTCTGTGTACATTTTCCTGGGCCTATGTGGGTGTTTCTAGGAAATCCCTTGGTCTCTTTTCCACAGGATTCCTCTCTGGTCCCAAAAAGTAAAGCCAGAATTAAGTGGGATGGCCAGTGGTTGCTGGCTCTGCCATCTGCCTTGGGGAAGAGAAATTAGACATGTTCTGTGTGGCTCCAAGAAGCACAATAGAACCAAGGTGGAGTACAGTGCCTACCCAGCAACCACTTCCCCTTCTTATGGCATCAGCATGCCAATTTTTCTTTGGGAAGCAGCCCTCTCCTGTTCTGTCCATGACCCTGTCTCTGTACCCACGGGTAATGAGGTTAGGCCAGGTCAGCCACCCCAAGTAGTTGGGGAGACTTTATTGGATCATACAACTGAATAGCGCAGGTGGTTTCTGTCACTTGCTATCACAAGGCACAGAGATTACTGAGAGACCAGTTTAGCTCAACTCAAGGAATAACTCTGGTAGCAGTGACACAGCCCCCAGATTAAGGAGCTCTTCTCTGCCAGCAGTGACCAGGAGGAGTGGGTAGAGCAGAGGGGCCCCAGCATCTTTCTTATCCTGAGGCTTTGAATGGTGGATTCAGCTGAGGCCCTTTATGGCCTCTTTAAGCCTGAGACTGTAGCTCTGAGAGGTCATGGATTCCTGACTGAATGGTTTTCCTGCCAATGCCCCAATACCCCAGGTCCACCCAAGGCAAACATCCCGAGAAGAGAACAGGGAAACCGCGGGCAAGCAGGTCCAGAATGAACTTCACCCCTCCTCTGCCCACTTCTGATTTCCAGCAGATTGCTGAGGCCTCACTGCCAGGGATGCCAGCCGCAGCCTCCAGGAGGGCATCAGGGAAGGAAAGAGAGCTGCTGAGGAGGGACTTTGAAGCTGAAAAGCAGTGTGACTGCTTCATTTGCTCCCATGCCAAGTGACAGCCACAAAGTTAGTTATTCTTCTCTACAGGCTTTTAATTGTCTGTAATCTAATTACCACTCAACCTGCTTCCCCCGTCATGCTATTAATTAAGGCAGGGTGGCTTTGCTAGGGCATAAGGGAGTTCTTGCATTTCTTTGCTTCTTACTCAACTTGTACATTCAGGCAAAAGTATTAGGGACAGCCAGTGCCAGTCTTTGATTTCTTTTTTCCTGTTCTTACTGTGGCTATTTCCCCTTCTCTCCCTGCTAGTAAGGGTAGCCCTGACCCTCCATGCCCCAACCCCAACCACGTTCCACTTTGGTACCCCCTGGTGCTGGGTCATAGCTGCTTGGCCTATGACCTAGGGATATTGCGACCATGTGACTGTGCACTTACCATGGTTGGGCTGGGAACTCAGTAGCAGCCCTGCTGTAGTAGGTCTGGTCATCGTGGGGTTTGACGAGGGTGTCCCTGGAGCCGTAGTGCTCTTGGCGGGACTGATGCTGGTTGCAGGAGCGAGGCTAGTCACCTTAACCTGGAGATGTAGCACAGAGTACACAGTAGCCCAGCTTTTGCACAAAAGGGACTTAACTTTGGACTCTGGGAACCTCAGTGATGGATTTCAAACCAGCAAAGAGTCACTGTGGAGGAGGAGGAGGGAAGGATAGCAGAAAGACTGTGCAAAAAGGGGACCTGACAGAGCATCAGGTCCAGCATGTCCATCCTATGGATGAAGAAACTGGGGCCCAGAGAGGAGAGGGATGAGGATCAAAGAGCCAGCAGGTGGTCAAGGCAGAGACGAAACCTGCTCTCCCGATTTCCCAGGCCGGCACTCTTCCCCTGCTCCACACCGACCAGGCTCACGCACAATTGAGTAGGGGCTTCTGGGCTTGCACCCCACGCTGCTGCAGTGAAGGCCAAGAGGACCTGGGAAAGAACTTCAGACTGGAGGACAGTTTCAGAAAAGAGATGGGGGATGTGGCACTTTTATTTCCTAGAGAATATGATGAGGACATTGCGAACCCCTCCCCCAGTGAGACATAGCTTTGGCAGGGGGAGGCAAGTATGAGTTTTGAAGAAGGAGAAGTCCCAGGTTTGTGTCCTGTTTCTTAGTATCATCTAAGTGACAAGTCCCTATGGAGGGATAAGAATTTCCACCTCACAGAGAAAGAGGTGGAGGCTGGAGACACCCGCACTTTGGGGCAGATGGGAGGGCCCTGGCCTCTGACTCCCAGTGTCATGCAGGGAATGTAGTTGGTCTGCTGTGTCCCTCACCTCGGGGAGTTGGTCCCCATAATCTGTGAGCTCCTCATAGTTGCTCAGGTCAATGACTTCACCATAGTTGTCTGGGTTCAGGACATCATTCCGCAGAGGCAGAACTTCAAAGGAATCGCCTTCCCTGGGCATCTGCTCCTCTCTCCTCTTCCTCTCCTTCCTTGGGAGAGAAGCTGTCCCTGTCTCCTGCAGCACCAAGGCCAGCAGACTCAGGAAAGCCAGGAGCCTCATGGGGAGTCAGATGGGACTGAGAATCCCTTCAGCGGCTGGTCCTGGCAAGTGGGCACGAGGAAGGGCAGCGATCTGAGGGACAGGCTCTCCAGAGTGTTGTGGGAATGGCTCGCAGATTTACTCCACTTCCCACCCCCACACTTGCAGACTCAGTGCTCTCATCACATGCACAAATTCCCTACCAGCTGGGACTATGTCTTGGGGGGTATCTCCTAGCAGCCCCCTCCCTCCACCGCCCCACTTGAGTGTTTTTACACGCTCACCCAAACACTGATATTCACTCACAGAGGCATGTGCAGACACATCTCAACACAGACACATTCACAAGAGTCCCCTTGTTTACAAACGAGGCACACACTGGTGCATGCACACAGATGTCCTCTCTTAAACAACCCCATGCTCAGAACATGACTGCTAGTCACTAAGCTCGATTTAGAGAATGTCAACATCAAATAATCTTATGGGGTCTTTTTGTTTGTTTGTTTTTTTGAGACGAAGTTTCATTCTTGTTTCCCGGGCTGGAGTGCAGTGGTGCGATCTTGGCTCACTGCAACCTCCGCCTTCTGGGTTCAAGCGAATCTCCTGCCTCAGCCTCCTGAGTAGCTGGGATTACAGGCACCCACCATGCCTGGCTAATTTTTGTATTTTTAGTAGAGAAGGGGTTTCACCATATTGGCCAGGCTGGTGTCGAACTCCTGACCTTAGGTGATCCACCCACCCTGGCTTCCCAAAGTGCTGGAATTACAGGTGTGAGCCACCGCGCCCAGTTGACTCTTGTGGTTTTTTATAAAGATCATCCATTCATGCATTTGCTCAACAAACATTTATGGGTGTCTATTGAGTTCCAGGCACAGGACTTGTCTCTGTGGGTACAGAATGAATGAGGCACAGCCCTTCCTAGGAGCACCTAGTCTCTTTAGGAGACATGGACTTACAATGAAACATACAATGTAAAAAAGAATGTTAGTTTATGAAATATACTTCTAAATGCAGCTTTTTAGAAACAGATTATTACAGATAAAAGAGTTCTTTGTGTGTGATTGCATGAGTGTGTACGCATCTGGAAATTTCCTTAGATACCTGTGTATATTTGTGTGTGTGTGCACACAGATGCCTGCGTATGTATGTGATATGCATGTGAGTACAAATGTTCATGTAGTTCGTATATGTATAGACGGGTCAGGAAATGCATGTGGTGTGGTTTTGTATCCAGGCATAAGTGTATACAACAGTCATACCCAGTGTAGGCTTAACACAGCCCTCCCCAAAGCTAGCTGCACAAGTTTCTAGTAGACTCTCCCTCTTTCTTTCTTTTAAAATTTTTTTTATCTTTTAATTTTTATTTTATTTTCTATTTTTAAGACGGTGTCACTCTGTTGCCCAGCCTGGAGTGTTATGGCATGATCTCAGCTCACTGAAGCCTTAACCTCCTGGGCTCAGGCAGTCCTCCTGCCTCAGCCTCCCAAGTAGCTGGGACTACAGGCGTGTGTTACCATGCCCAGTTAACCTCCCCACCCTTTCTTAATTTTAGCTGGGCAAGGGGGCAAGCCTCTAGCAGTAGCAAGAGGTGTTTCTTCACCTTACCTCCCATACCTCACCCCAAACGAATTACATAATCTCAAAAAAAATTTTTCTAAGAGAGTTTAGTGCCCACCCAAAAGTCTTGTCCAACTTCTTTGGCCAGAGGCCTAAACTCTCTTCATTTTCCCTTCCCAATCCCCTGCCCCAGCCAAACACTTTGCCCTCATTTGCGCACCGATGGCCAGAGGCCTCAACCTTGAGCCTTACCCCTTCAATGCTTCTGGATCCTGGATGGAGAGCCCTGCAGCTTCCAGAAAGGTGGGGACTCTGGTGGAGGCTGTCTGAACTGGGGCTTGGGTTAGACAGTGGTGCCCGGGGGAGGGCAAGGAGTTGGCCAGGCCTGCGACCAATCAGACTTCTCATTCCTTCTGATGTCCAGCTGTTTCCCCTCCTCTTTCCTCAGGGGGTCCCCTGCCCCATTCCTGTATTTGACAAAAGAGAATTCTCCCCCCACCTTCCGCTTCACCCCCCACCTCCAGCTCCTGCTCTCTCTCCTCTTACTCTGTCAGCTCCTTCTTTCTTTTCCTTGTCCACTCTCCTGATAAGGCCACATCTTTGAGGAACAGGGAGTGCCATCCCCTGCAAGGAAGGGGCCCCATCCCTCAGATTCTGAGTCCTCAGAGAAGGCTGGAGTCGGGGGATATGGAGAGATAGAGCTTGTCTTTGCAGCTTCTTTCTCCAGCCAGAGAGTGACAAGGCTTCAGCTTCATAGCCAGAATCCAAAGATAAAAATAGGTGGAAATGAGGCACTTCACCCTCACCTAGAGCGCCAGCACAGAGACCATAATTGAATAAAATCACCAGAGACAGGAGCTGCAGGCCTAGGTAGTTCAAAGAGAAGGTGTATGGGGGATGAGATCGGATTTGAAAGCCAACTTCAAGTTCACAGATGATGATCATGAGGATACGGGAAATTCTCTAAATCTGCTAGGAGGAAACCAAATGGAAATTGGGAGGTGGGCCCTAGAAAGGATCATAAACACCAGTAGACATTGTGTAGGGTCTCGGGGGCCTGGGAAGTATCCTCTCCCGCACCCTCAGAGATGTACAGTCGTCCCTCAGTAACCATGGGGGATTGGTTCTGCACGTCCAGTGGATACCAAATCCACATATGCTGAGGTCTTTTATATAAAATGGTGAATTTGCACATAACCTACGCACATCCTCCTGTGTACTTCAAATCATCTCTAGATTACCTATAACACCAAACACAATGCTTACACCTCACTCCATTCACATGGATTCCACATAGTACTGGCACACAGCAAATTCAAGTTTTCCTTTTTGGAACGTTGTGAATTTTTTTTTTTTCTGAATATTTTCAATCTGTGGTTGGTTGAATCCACGGATGTGGAACCCACAGATACAGAGGGCCAACGGCATTCATCTGGAAACACTCCCCTTTCCTTGGTGCCTCGAGCAGGCTGCCGAGCAAGTCCTTGCTGAAGGCAGAGGTGGGGTGGCTAAGGAGTCTTCCCCAGCTTCTGCCAGCCTGTGCCCTGGCGCCCACCCAGGTTTCTCAGTGACTCTCCTTGTTCCCTACTCCTTTCCACCAACCAGATACTGAATTCCAGCTGTGAGGCCCCCTAAAGATCTAGTCCAAGTCCTTGTGGTATAGATGAGGAGAGTGAGGCCCAAAGAGGTGACGTGACTTGCCCTAGGTCACACAGAGCCAGGGCCAATGCCTAGATTTTTTGACTCCCTGGTCAGAGAGTTTTCTTTAGTTCATATGACCCTCCCCATTTCCACCTTCTTCCCCAGGAGTCCTGAATCCGTGTGTTTCCAGGCCCTCAGAGCAGATGGCTTGGCAGAACTCATCTCTGCCCTGGCACACCAGGTGAAGAGGCAGATCTAATAGCCTGGCCCTCGAGGGCAGCATTTGGCTTGCTGTGTTCCTGGGCTCCAGCTGGTGCAAGAGGGGGCTTCCCTCAGCCCAAGAGCCTGGTCACCAGAGAAGAGCATGTTCTTGTACCCCTGGCAGCCCCCCACCTGGGAAAAGACACCATCAGAGGCTCTGCTGGGTGGAGGGAAAGATAGCCCTGGATCCTGGAGGGCATCCAGTAGGCAGATGGCACATTTGGCGGGCTGTATGCCTCCATCTTCTCTCCACAGCCTGGGCTTTGCAGCCAGAGGCCCTCCACCCCCACAGCCAGCCTAGGCAATCTCCCCGCTCCCACCCCACACATTTATTCCTGGGAGAAATGCAAATGCGAGTGTTCATTCACTCTCCCTGCCGCCTGCTCCCACTCTCCCTCCCTGCTTTCCCAGAGACATACGCTCCTGCCATCCCTGCTTGGTTGCCACACCCCCACCATCGTTCCTCCCCAATGCATACACACCTGCTCCCCCCACTCCCTGCAGGAGCCACATCCAGACTCAGGCTCGCATCCTAGACCCTCTCCCAACTTCTCCTCTTGCTTTCCCAAGCTCACAGGTCACACACTCTTGTTCTCATGAATATTAGGGGCTGTCCATGGATGTGTACATGTGACCTGGTGGGGGAAACGGCTAACCCCGCAGACTGCTGTTCCAGGCAGCCCAGCTCCCCAAGAGCCTGGCAAAGGAAGCAGGAGGCGGGGGAGGCGTCCTAATCCTAATCTCTCATTAGGAGAGGCAAAAGGCGTGTTGATGAATCGGAGGCGGCAGGTGGTATGGACAGAAGTTTGACCAGCCAACCCTGTTGTTGCCCTTTTCATGGATAGGGAGAGAGAGGCGGGGAAGTTCAGGAACCCTCCTGTGTTTTGGATGACAGGGGTATATCCCCTGCTGAGGGCTTGTAGCCACATAACTCCACTCCATGACCGGAACATGACCCTCTCCTCTTTTTCAGACACACAAGCCCCACAGGGTAGACTCCACACCTTCCTACCTTTGTACTCATGCTGTTTCCTGTCCAGGTGGCGTCTTTTTTTCTTTCATCCACCTGGCAAAATCTGATTTATCCCTTAAGAGCCAGCTCACATGGTAGGAGTCTTTCTGGTTTTCCTCAGGTAGAGGTAAAAGCCCTTTCCTTTATACTGTTCATACACAGTAGTTTCACTCGTGTCTGTGTGAAGCGACCACCAAACAGGCTTTGTGTGAGCAACAAGGCTGTTTATTTCACCTGGGTGCAGGCGGGCTGAGTCCGAAAAGAGTCAGCGAAGGGAGATAGGGATGGGGCCATTTTATAAGATGTGGGTAGGTAATGGAAAATTACAGTCAAAGGGGGTTGTTCTCTGGTGGCCAGGGGTGGGGGTTGCAAGGTGTTCAGTGGGGGAGCTTTTGAGCCAGGATGAGCCAGGAGAAGGAATTTCACAAGGTAATGTCATCAGTTAAGGCAGGGACCAGCCATTTTCACTTCTTTTGTGGTGGAATATCATCAGTTAAGGTAGGAACCAGCCGTCTGGATGTGCACATGCAGGTCACAGGGGATATGATGGCTTAGCTTGGGCTCAGAGGCCTGACACACAGCATTATTACAAACACTTAGGACACAGAGGTATCCATTCATGGATTTCTTTCCCTTTACCAAGGTATGAGTTCCTCAAGGATGTGCTGCTATGTATATTATCCATCCTTGAATGCGTAGCTGGGGACCTGGCATGTGACCGATATCCACTGAACATCCGTGAAGTGAACCGAAGTCGATGTTTAGTAGCCAGGTAGGAGCAGCGAGGGCGTCACCTGGCAGTTCTCATTCTAAAGAAGATGGTGTAGCCTGGGAGGGTCATGAATCCCACTTTTGCAACCAACCTTCCCTCAGAAGAGAGAGTCTGGGACACCCTGTTCTAACCCTTCGGTGGACTTCCGCATGGCATGTAGACCATTCCAGATGACTTGGTCTATGCTCTCTGTCCTTGAGATGGCTCTTTTACTGTTTTGTATGCACACTACATCTCCCCAGTTAGTCTGTAAGCTTTACTTGGGCAGGAAAGACGACCGTTTTGTGTCTTTCTGTGTCTGCCTCAGTACAGAGCTCCTGGGAGACCTTCGACAATTTAGTACATGTAGCTTGAAAGAACCCGAGGCTTTGGGTTTCAAAGGCAGCTGTCAGATTTCTGGTCCGACTTTAGGAATATATATATTTTTTTGTCTGTGGGTGGGCAGTCTCGTGGAACTGAGGATTAATTTTTCATGAGGGTTGTGAGTTTGCGAGAAATTCTTCAAGAAATGGCTTTGGGGCTGGGCATGGTGACTCACGTGTGTAATCCCAGCACTCTGGGGAGGCCAAGGTGGGAGGATCACTTGAGGCCAGGAGTTCCAGACCAGCCTGGGCAACATAATGAGACCCTGCCTCTATTTAAAAATAATAAGAAAAGAGGAAAGAAAAGGCTTTTGGATAGCTTTCGTAGGAATTTCTTAAGAGTATAATCTTTTCCCCACTCATCTTGTTAGAGCAATTAAGAGGCTTTGGGGCTGGGCATGGTGGCTCAATGGTAGGGGGTGGGTGGCAAGATGACTTTATTTTTATTTTTATTTTTATTTTTTTTAAATGAAGTCTCGTTTTGTCTCCTAGGCTGGAGTGCAGTGGTGCGATCTCGGCTCACTGCAACTTCTGCCTCCAGGGTTCAAGCAATTCTCCTGCCTCAGCCTCCCAAGTAGCTGGGACTACAGGCATGTACCACCGCACCCAGCCAATTTTTGTATTTTGAGTAAACAAGGGGTTTCACTATGTTGGCCAGGCTGGTCTTGAACTCCTGACCTCAGGTGATCTGCCCGCTTTGGCCTCCCAGAGTGCTGGGATTACAGGCGTGATCCACCACGCCTGGCTGGCAAGATGACTTTGAAGTGTTATTCTTGACCTGTTCACACCGTTGAGTTCACGCAGGGTGTTTTTCATATTACTTTATTTCCTGTACTGTGAAGTGTGTTGAAATGTGGAAGTTATTTCACAAAGTTAACAGGGTCTTCAAGACAGAAGAGATATACGTGCAGAGTACACACATACACCTACGTACACACCTGTATATGTCGATGACGACAGCATGGAGGGAATGAACTTGTGCATGGAGAAGGGGGCTTTTTTTAAACTTGAAAGAAACCAGCCCATTCTGTGTGTGTTTGGAGGAGGGGAGCCTGTAAAGCCTATTTACCTTGAATCCCCTCTGGCTTACAGCTGCAGAGAGCAAAGGAGAGCAGACATATTCTAGATTGGGCAGTGGGATGATGGTGATTGCGTTGCTGCTCAACGAGTCTGGGTTTGCAGGATCAAGGTAATGACCTCTCCCCTGAGGGCCTCATCAAAGGGGCTGAGGCTGCAAGCTGTGAATAAGATGCAGAAGGGGCTCTTATCCAGGCCGAAGCACCAGGTTGCTTTCGGCCATAATAACGTGTGGACTTTAAGCAGGAGCCTTGAAGAAACCAGCTGCAGCTAGAAAGAATGCGGCGATTGTAGTGGAGCACGGGGGAAGGAGGCTATGATGAAATGGGCCCTATTTTCCATAATTAGCAAAAAAGAAAGGTGAGAAGGAGCATAATGGGAATTTCTTGAAGTTAGGGACCCAGCTTAATCCAATTTCTTAAAAACCTCTGGAACTTTTTTCATCCTAACTTGGGGGTGGGCACTGTGTCTTACTCATTTCTAGAACATCCATCCTCTATGCCTCCCACCAATATACACACGCAGGGGGCTGAGAAGGGGCAGCATCCCTTGGAGGAAGTTAGGGGGAAAGGTGAAGTCGAGGCAGCCCTGTCTGGACCGGGTTCCACTTGGAGACCTGCCAAGCTGCTCACCTGGGCCAGGCAATGGAGGGTGGGGAAGCCTCTGGGGGAGGGACAGTCCATACAGAAAATAAATTACTGCAAGGGAAGGGGCAAATATTTAGGACTTGTCCTGCATTCGAGTATGATTTAAAGTGTGGAGCTGCAGACTCGGAACATGAGCGCCGGAGGGACCTCAGAGGAGCATCTTTTTTTTTTCTTTTTTGAGACGGAGTCTCACTCTGTCGCCCAAGCTGGAGTGCAGTGGCACAATCTCGCCTCACTGCAACCTCCGCCTCCCCGGCTCAAGCGATTCTCCCGCCTCAGCCTCCCAGTAGCTGGGATTATAGGCGCGCGCCACTATGCCTGGCTAATTTTTTTGTATTTTAGTAGAGACGGGGGTTTCACCATGTTGCCCAGGGTGGTTTCGAACTCCTGAGCTCAGGCAATAATCTGCCCGCCTCGGCCTCCCAAAGTGCTGGGATTACAGGCGTGAGCCACCGCGCCCGGCCGGGAGCATCTTATCCACCTCCTCGGTTTACAGATGAGGGAGCTGAGAAGGCACCTGGGAAGGGCCTACAACAAACGGGAGCCGACTATGTCCTCACCTGGGCTCACTCACGATGGGAATGAGCCCAGCCTGGGGACGTTTGTGCCCGCTAGACCCTAGAGGAGAGCGACACCATGCACACGGCCCATGGCTCTTCCGTGTTGGGACCCCACGGGCCTCCTCCACCGAGGAAAATCACCCCAGGAAGAGGGCCAGGCGCAAGACTGGGACCAGCTGTTACTCCCACCAGCCACTAGGTGGCACCGATGCGTCTGTCTCCGAGGAGGAGGCGCATTTTCAAACGTGGAGGGGCTTCTGGGAGACGTCCAGGTGCTCCGCCCCTTCCTCCCTGTTTCTCAGGAGCCGCCTCCCGAGGGTGGAAATGGCTGGGCCGCGCACACTGATGGAGAACAGATGGCGGGGGCGGGGCTGCCTCTTCCTTCCCCCGCCCCCACAAAAACACTGTGAACCCTCCTCCCTAAACCCGAGGTTGGGCAAGGGGGCCGCAGGACCCATCGACGTCACGCGGGCCCATCCCGGGCTTGAACCCTTCCCCTCTCCCATGGCTGCTTCCTAGT